>NC_000005.10:176062215-176212660 GCF_000001405.40 Homo sapiens
TAATCCTAGCACTTTGGGAGGCCGAGGCGGGCGGATCACCAGGTCAAGAGATCGAGACCATCCTGGCTAACACGGTGAAACCCCGTCTCTACTAAAAATACAAAAAAAAAAAAAAAAGATTAGCCGGGCGTGGTGGCGGGCGCCTGTAGTCCCAGCTACTCGGGAGGCTGAGGCAGGAGAATGGCGTGAACCCGGGAGGCGCAGCTTGCAGTGAGCCGAGATGGTGCCACTGCACTCCAGCCTTGGCAACAGAGTGAGACTCCATCTCCAAAAAGAAAAACAAACAAACAAACAAAAAACCGTGAGTCATTTTCAGTAGCGAAAAGCTCTCACCTAAAACTGTCCGTTTTACATCCGTATCCACCTGTGTAGATCGGTTCTTTACTGAAGGTTCTTAGAAGGAAACTTGGAAGTGGGAGGTGGGTTCTGTGTTCCTGAATGGGAAGACACATTTTTCTCAAAATGTGAGCTCTTTCTGTGATTATCAATTTTACATAAGCCGAATGAAAAAATCAAGGTTTTAACATTTTTGCATGACACCTACTGTCTTTTACTATTGTAATGACATTTGTAAAAATTTTAGGGCTGGGCGCGGTGGCTCACGCCTGTAATCCCCGCACTTTGGGAGGCCGAGGTGGGCGGATCACGAGGTCAGGAGATTGAGATTGAGACCATCCTGGCAAACACGGTGAAACCCTGTCTGTACTAAAAATACAAAAAAAAAAAAAAAAAATAGCCGGGCGTGGTGGTGGGCGCCCATAGTCCCAGCTACTCCGGAGGCTGAGGCAGGAGAATGCTGTGAACCCGGGAGGGGGAGCTTGCAGTGAGCCGCCATCCAGAAGTGCTGGGATTACAGGTGTGAGCCACCGCGCCCGGCCTGAAAAGTGCATCTTCATTTTACAGGGAATTCTTTCAAATCAAATAATCAAAAACTGTAAAAGGGGGCAAAGTACTTTTTTGCAGATCTACAAGTTTCTTATGTAAATAGGAAAAAAAGCCTTTGCTTTTCTGGTATAAGAATTTAAATTAAAAGAGGAATGAAACTGTTTTCTATCCACAATGTGTGAGGATGTTTTTTATACTGCTGCCTGAAGTTTAAGTTGCTGATTACTTTTTAAATAGATAATTTGGTGGTAAGTACTATATTTTAAAAATGCGTATGCCCGTTACCCTTCAATTCCATTATACTAAAATACCCTTGGGAAATAGAGATACATGCACTTTGTTTTTCACAGCACTTATTTTAAAAAGAACCCATAGAATGGATCTTATAAGTAAATTTCAGTTGCATCCATAGGATGCAATAATATGTGACCATCAAAGGTGACAATAGATATAGAAGTACGTTGATGTGCGAAGATGTATTTTGTTTTAGCCAGCGAGGAAAAAAGAATCAGTTTGATTATACATTTACCAAACATTAAGAATTTAATATGGTAACTTTTATTTCAGTATTAAAATAGCAATTTTATTTATTACTTTTTTATATACAGAATTCGACACCAAATTTTGGAACTTAAAAAGAAGATTCTTAAAACTTACAATCCAGGTAAGACTTCTGATAGTGAATTTCTCATTTCTCATGGTGGTCCTACTCTTGGTTTAAAAAAATTAAGATGTAAGATTAAGGTAGTTTTGAAGGAAAAGAAAAGTTTAAAAAGATGTGTAAATTGCATGTATATATACATATATACATACATGTAAATTAGTTTCTTATATTTAACTTCTTTAGTTTGGAATTAAGAGTTATTTAAGAAGGTAGTTGTAGCTGATTTATAATCTCAAACAGTATTATCTGAAAAAAAAAATCATTTACTTAATTATGATCCTGAAAATCCTATATAATATTTATGTTTTCTCTATAGTCACATTGTAACAAATTGGACTTGTTATACATATGGATCTTCTAGTTCATTTTTGTAATAAGTTGTTTATTTTTATAATAAATTGTTTATATTTAGTAAATACATAATTACACTTGACCCATGAATAATGTGGGGGTTAGGGGCTCTGATTCCAGTGCAGCTGAAAATCTAAGTATAACTTTTGATTTTCCCAATTTAGCTACTAATAGCCCACTATTGACTGGAAGCCTTCCTGATAACATAAACGGTCGATTAATACCTATTTTATTTGTGCTGCATTATTATATACTGTGTTCTTACAATAAAGTAAGCTAGACAAGTGAAGCTGTTAGAAAGAAAATCTGCAGGAAAAATATATTGACTTTTCATAAAGCGTAAATGGATCCTCACAAAGGTCTTCATCTTTATCATCTTCAGGTTGTTCAGGCTGAGAAGGAAGAGAGGTTGGTCTTGCTGTCTCTGGGTTGCAGAGGCAGAAGAAAATCTGCATATAAATGAACTCCTGCAGTTCAAACCCTTGCTGTTCAAGGGTGAACTGTATTACCTGTTAATTTGTGTCACTAAGGAAGTATCTTTAGAACCGGGAACTCAACAATCCCTTTCTCGTAGAATAAATAAATGGCAGTAAGAACTGTAAAAGTGAACCAGTGTGCACCCATACGAATAGGAGATTATTGTTTGAAGATACCTACTGAGTGCAGAAAACAGAAAAGCAATTCCTTTGTGAGAAGCACAAGTTATGTTACATATTCTTACATAAGCAAAATGGTTTTATCTGTCATAGTTTACACACACACGTGCACATACACACATGTGCGTTCGGGTGCGCACACACACACATGCACACAAAGTTAAAAGTCCTGCTGATTGTTAATGACCAAATCCACTGCTTGCAGGGAGTAGTGGATAACACAGCCTACAGCTTGGATGCAATTCTTTTGGCTTTTTGACTTGTTCTGTGATGAACTGCCTTGAATGGGTCAACCATGTTTTAGTCTTATGAGAAATGAAAAGATTAGGGGCAAGTAAAAGGAACTCTATGATCAGTAGTTATACTATTATACTATATTCAATGGTTATGTTTTTTTCCAGTTATACAAGTTACTTGAATGATGCACAATTAATTTATTATCATTATTATAAGAGATGGGCTCTCTCTATGTTGCCCAGGCTAGAATATTGTGTCTATTCAGTGGTACAGTCATAGCTCACTGTAGCCTGGAACTTCTGGGCTCAAGCAGTCGTCCCACCTCATCCTCCTGAGTAGCTGGGATTGTAGCTATGTGTAGTTACATCTAGCTGGATACACAATCATTTGTTTATTTATTTATTCATTTTTATTATTATTATTTTTTGAGACAGGTCCCCCTCTGTTGCCAGTACTGGAGTGCAGTGGTGGGATCTATCTTGGCTCCCTGCAACTTCTGCTTTCTGGCCTTAAATGATTCTTTCACCTCAGCCTCCCGAGTAGCTGGGACTACAGGCATGCCCCACCACGCTTGGCTAATTTTCCTTTTAAGGTTTTTTTTTCCTCACTATATTGCCCAGGCTGGTCTGGAAGTCTGGAACTTCTGGGCTCAAGTGATCCTCCTGCTTCGGCCTCCCAAAATGCTAGGATTTTACGGATGTGAGCCACCACACCTGGCCTGCACAATTATTATAAAAAGGAATTAAGCCCAGTTGAGTTGCAGAAAATTGACCACCTTTTCATTTTTTGTTTCTAGAAACATTCATATTGTAGAACATATTGTCAATCATCAAGATTCCCTATTTTTTATTCTGGTAAAACTAGGATTGCTGCTTATTTCCCATTATTTTCTAACAATTGCTTCACTTATTTCTTTTATGGCTTTAATCAGTTGAGTATAGAAATACAAGAACCTCCAAGTCAAATATCAAGGAAAGAAAAGAAAAACAGATTAGGGAAAGTTATTCTGTGAAATAACCATCTGATTATAGGTCATGTCAACTTAATAAAAACCTTATATAATGCATTTGTGACAAGGGTTCCCAAGACCACCCCCAGGTTTGGTGATTCACTAGAAGGACTCACAGGATTCAGCAAATAATCATATTCAGATCTTTAATTGATTACAATGAAAGGGTACAAGCAAAATGAGAGGGAAAAGGTGCATGTGGTGGTCAAGTCTGGAGGAAACCAGGCACAAGCTTCCAGAAGTTCTCTCCTGTGGAGTTCCCAGGATCTGCTTAATTCCCCCAGCCTCACATTTTGACAACCCATGTGCAGTGATGTCTACCAGTACCAGAATCTCATTAGAGACTCAGTACCCAAGTGTTTTTTATGGAGGTTACTCTCCCTCACATGTACCCACATTCCGACCTTCAGAAGGAAAGCAGCTGCTCAGAAGTAACCGCATTGTTTCTATAAACACTTTAGACACAGTGACCAGTCTTAGGGCATGGTGGGAACCCTCCCAATTCCAATTTCCTAAACAACAGCCAAGGGCCAGGCTTGCATGCGGGTCTTTCTGAGGACGGCAGTCTCTCTCCTGCTATATGAAATCTTTCCTGCACAACAGTTTTAGCCCCAACTTAACTTTTGGTGCTGTTTTAAAATTTCATTTTAACAGCAAATAATATTATAAGATAAGGTAACCTGGTGCTAGTTTCTGTTGCATGATCCATCCTGTGTTGCAATGCTGGCTACCTTTTTGACTTCTGGTGACTCACAGGTATTTGAATGGAAGTTACCATAGCAATATTAAGCAATTATAATCTGTCCTTCTTATCTCTTTAACCTTTCAGTGAAAGTGTTAAATTGAATAAGCATAATAATTTCTGAGTTAAAATTAGAATAAAAATGGTCTTTTATTTTGATTATGTGAATCTAGTTTTCATGTCGTGCTAAATCCCTGTTTAGAGTTATGAAATAAGATATTCAATCATTTTATCAATATTTTCTTGCCTAAGCTTGCAATTGAATCTATTTGTTTTATGTATTTTCTATACTGCGATTTGAGAAATCATGCCCACATGCTGTTACTTTGGTCTTTAATGATCTCCAATTTTTAGGGTTACCACTGTGTCCTGCTTAAATATATCATAATAACAGATTCAGTGAATATCTTTTATTTTTTATTTTTGTTCTGGAAATCCTGGGATGCATAGACAATGAATATGTTTTTTAAATCAGTAACTCTATTTCTTATAGCAGTTTTAGGTTCACAGCAAAATCGGAGGAAGGTACAGAGATTTCTCCTATGTTCCATGCCTCCCACACATGCATGGCCTCCCCCATGATTAGTATTTTCCACCAGAGTGGTACATTTGTTACAACTGATGATCCTACATTGACACATTATAATCACTCAAAGTTCATAGTTGACATCAGGCTCCATTCTTAATACTGTACATTCTGTGAATTTGGACAAATGTATAATGACATGTGTCTATTTATTATAGATAGAACAGTTTCACTGCCCTAAAAATGCTCTATTCTCTGCCTGTTCATCTCTCCCTTTCTCCCTAGCAGCTGCTGGAAACCACTGATCTTTTATCTGTCTTCATAGTTTTACTTTTTTCAGGAGAGTCATATAGTTGAAATAATACAATGGATATCTTTTTGAATAGTTAAAAAAGTAAAGTTCCATGGTAATTGAATGTAGTCATTTAAGATGTTCTTTGTCCTTTTGTTTTTCTTTAGCTTCTTTGTCTTTGTAAGGTCTGATGACATATGCTTTACATACTTAGGAAACATGATTTGTATAGGCCTTTGCCACATAATGGAAAGGGTTGAGGAAAATGACACCATGCAATACCACACAGCACAAACTGGAGCATCTTGCTCCAGTGAGGTGGGTCCAGATAGACTCCCTAGCAATGGAAGGGGAGAAGCTCAAGAGGTTGTACTTTAAAAAACTGGAATCACAAAGTCTTTCATACTTACCTTGGGTTGGAAATAAGACCAGGCAGTGAATGTTATAGATAAATACATATGTTCCTCACTGATCCTCTTCCTTTGAGGGATGACTTTGAAAACAGTCTGTGTTATGATGACATGACTCACCTGCAACTAGATTCTGTGTCATGAGGGACGGCAGTTTTGCTTTGTGTGAGGTGAAAAAGAATTTTTTTCTCCTACTAGGGAAAGGGGCAAGCATTGGAACATTCTGGCAGCAAGAGGGCATTGATAGTTTTCTTTCTGTATATTTTTCATATCATATAGTACTGCCTGGCAGCCTGGCATACCACGCCGGTGTTTCTTAAGCTTCTCTCTGAATGTGAGGCGTGGTTCCGAGTGGATAAGCTCTTAAAGGAGTGATCTTTCCAGTGGTTCTTTCTGTGGGAGGTAAAATGGCAGGTGAATTTGGGCCTTGTTATACGTGGGGCAGAGTATATAGCTACAACTAAGGAAACCACCCAGCACCTTCCCCAGAAGAGTAGTATCCAGAGTAACACATTGAGCTCTCTTGAGCTCTTCTCCACTGGCAGCTGGAAAGTTTTTGCAAGGATCCCTGTTGCTGGTCTGATTCCTATGTTCTGCTGGCTGCTGGTGATAGGGTGTTTTATTCTAAACTGAAAAGTTTTAACTGAAGAGCTAGAGAGGCTGTGTTGTGTTACAACAAAATAAGTGCAGTAGTTCCCCATTAACTATGGGAGATAACATTCTAAGACACCCCCAGTGAATGCCTGAGACCACAAATAGTACCGAATCACCCACTGGTTTTTCCTACACATACATAACCATGATAATATTTAATGTATAAATTAGGCACAGTAAGAAATGAACAATAAAATAAAAAATTATACTGTAATAAAAGTTACTTGAATGTGGTCTCTTGAAATATATTGCACGGTTCTCACCCTTTTTTTTGGGGGGGGGGGGACGGAGTCTCGCTGTCGCCCAGGCTGGAGTGCAATGCTGTGATCTCGGCTCGCTGCAAGCTCTGCCTCCTGGGTTCACACCATTCTGCTGCCTCAGCCTCTGGAGTAGCTGGGACTACAGGCACCCGCCACAAAGCCTGGCTAATTTTTTTTTTTTTTATTTCTTTAGTAGAGATGGGGTTTCACCGTGTTAGCCAGGATGGTCTTGATCTCCTGACGTCGTGATCTGCCCGCCTCGGCCTCCCAAAGTGCTGGGATTACAGGTGTGAGCCACTGCACCCGGCTGGTTCTCACCCTTTTTCTTGTTATGATATGAAGTGATACAATGCCCGTGTAATGAGATGAACTGAGGTGAATGACGTGATCCTAGATAGTCAGGCCTTGATGTTGGCGGCAGGGTACAGGAGGAGACCGTGTTGATGACTAACGGGTGGACAGCATGTGCAGTGTAGGTGCACTGCAGGACGATTCACATCCTGGGCTGGATAGAGGGTGCTGACGGTTTCACTGTGCTTCTCGGAATGGCACACTAAAACTTATGACCTCTTTATTTCTGGAGTTTTCCGTGTATATTTTTGGAATACAGTTGACTATTAGTAACTGTAACCACAGAAATCAAAACTGCAGATGTAAAATCTCTGGATCTTAACTCATTTGTTGGGTACAATTCTTAAAATCCTTAGGATTTCCAAAGTGATGTTTTTTTGTATGCTAATGATCGATGGCTGGAAGCCCCTAGGTAGCTTCAGGATGGGAACTGGTCACCATCCTGAAGACATGATTGATTAGAGTGTTGAGATCTTCTGTCTCATTCAGGAGACTCTGGAGAGGAGAGAAGAGCTGAAGGTTGTCAGTCACCAAAGGCCAGTGATGCCAATATAATGAAGCTTTCATCAAGACCCAAAGTGACTGGGCTTGGAGAGCTTCCAGATGGCTGAATGCATGGAGGCTCCTACAGGGTGGTGTGTCCTGGGAGGGCATGGAATCTCTGTGCCACCTCCCCCATACTTTGCACTATGCATCTCTTCATCTGTATCTTTTGTAATGTCATTCATAGAAAACTGGTAAATGTGTTTCCCTGAGTACTTTGAGCCACTCTAGCAATTCAATTTAACCCAAAGAGGGAGTCCTGGGAACCCCAATTTGAAGACAGTTGGCCAGAAGTTCTGGAGTTTCAGACCTACGACTGATGTAGGGAGGCAGTTTCATGGGACTGAGCCCTTTACCTGTGCAATCTGATGCTATCTGCAGATAGAGTGTGAGAATTGACTTAAGAGGATGCCCAGTTTGTGTCATCTGCAGAAATGATTGCTTACTTGTTGGTGGAGAAAAACCCTCCCCACGTTTTGTCACAGGAGACTTCTTTGTTGATGATTGTTGCTGTGACGTGACAGCAGAGAAAAACAGGTCAAATGTGTCTTTTCCACACATACAGTGGACAAGGGGTACTACTGTATACTCTGTTTGAACTGCCCGTCATGTTTTGGTCCTGAAATCATGCTCTTTGACACTGTTCATTCATCACACCTGTTCTGCTAACAATACCATTTTTAGTCAATCTCATAGGGTTTGGCTAGGATAACTTGTATACTGCGGTTCACTTGTAGATATCAAATTTTATAAATTTATTCTTCTTTGCATTTAATAAATACAAAGTAAGGGAAGTAAGAGTTCTTACTGCATTAATTATCTACTAATAGGTATAATTAATATTAATTCTAATAAGGTCCCGGTTATGCTCCCAAAGGAATGCTTTATAACAAAGCATCAGTCCTATGCTTTAAAAAAAGAAAAGAAAAGAAAAGAAAAGAAAAAAACATGGTCTGAAGTCTGCACACAAGTGTGCATAACTTTTTTGTGAAGGTAGAGTCTTGCTGTTTCCCAAGCTGGCCTCAAACTTCTGGGTTCCTCAAGTGATCCTCCTGCCTCAGCCTCCCAAGTAGTTGGGAATACAGGCATGTATCACTGTGCCTTCTTATGCTTTTAATATTCTATACAATTATTATTGATTTATAATGCAGTATACCTTTTTCTTTAATAGATTCTGGGAGTTCTGATGAATATGCAGTCAGGTAGGATTTTACAGATTTAAAAAATTATGTTAACTAAGGAAATATAGATGGAAGAGATTCATATCTGTTGAGTGTTGTATTCTGGGCTAAACCCCTATTGTGTGCTATGCATTTATCATCCCATAAAGCCATCGCAACATCTGTGTTCTTATAACCTACTGTTTATTACATAGGCGACTGTGGTTTAGAGGTTGATTAATTGGCTCATGATCCTGTAGTTAACAAAGTAGCCGACCCACAGTTAAACCATCAGCCTGTCTGGCTTCCAGATCCCTTATCTTGCTCCTCAGCATAGATTGATAGAAATCTGTGCAGCACTTGGATCAAGGTACACGTCTGAATCAGATTAATTTAGACAGTCAAATCTAGTTGTATGTTAACTCTCATTTAAGGTTATTGTTAGAAATGTGGTTAGTCCAAGAGTTTCTCCTCATAAATTTGACAGTTTCAGTGGTAGCCAATATCTTATTTTACTATCAGAGGCTTTAGGGCAAGGTAAAGGTTTGGCCATAGGATTATAATTTTACAAAAGCAAGATTAGACAAGTCTCAGAAATTATTTGACTTCCCAGTTTGGTTTTCCCTTTAGGCTAGTACTTCTGCTTAATTCCATAATACTTTTTTTAAGACTTTTTCCTTTTTCCATGACATTTCTATAATCCTGTCTTGATGTTGTAAAACTTTCTTCTCTGCTTTTCTTGGTCTTTCGTTATATTATTTTTTCAAAATCTGCTGACTATGTATTCCCAGTTTTCTTATAGACAGAATCAAAAGCACATAGAATTACAGAATTTTAAGGAATCATAGGACAAATTAAAATAACCTCTAGTACTTTAACCTGTGTTAAACATTCTGGTCAAGTGTTTCTCTAGATAGAGAACGTGAGACTCAAAGAGATTAGGATAGTTTTTTTATATATAGGAAGTGGCAGAAAGGAGATTTCAACTCATTTTAAAGCTCAGTACTTGTCTTTTTTTTTTTTTTTATCCTATTGGCATGTTTTTCTGTTTGTTTTTTGTTTTATTTTGTTTTTTTGAGACAGTCTCTCTCTGCTGCCCAGGCTGGAGTGCAGTGGCACAGTCTTGGCTCAATGCAACCTCTGCCGCCCGAGTTCAAGCGATTCTCCTGCCTCAGCCTCCTGAGTAGCTGGGATTACATGCACTTGCCACTACACCCGGGTAGTATTTGTATTTTAAGTAGAGGTGGGGTTTCAGCATCTTGGCCACGCTGGCCTTGAACTTCAGACCTCGATCCACTCGTCTCCACCACCCAAAGTGCTGAGATCACAGGCAAGAGCCACGACGCCCGGTTTGGCATGTGTTTTAATAATACAAAGTAGGGCGGGGCACAGTGGCTCACAACTGTGGGTCCTCATTTGCATGAGCTAAGTTTTTCATAGCAATCAAAAGCAAAGCAAGCCCAGGTGTTCGCCATTCTCCTTAATGGCATCAAGCCCAGGGTTTGAGAGCCATTTTCATTGGCCCCAGATGACCTGTTCATACCTGTCTTCATTGTGCCCAGCTCGGGGCTTCAAAGCTGGCTTCATCCAGGCCTGCAAAGGTGTTCACAGTGGTCCTCATCTAAGCCAGCCAAGGTGTTCTCTTACCATCCACACGATAGCCAGCCCAGATGTCCCTAGCCGTCCTCATCGAGGCCAGCCAGTTTGTTCACACTCGTGCTTATTGGGGCCAGCCACCTTCATAGAGGTCATCTCAGGTATTTACAGGCATCCTCACTGGGCCCAGCCCATGTGTCCACAGCTGTCCTCAGTGGGCATAGCCCGGGTGTTCATAGTTTTCCTCACTGGACTTAATCCAGGTGTTCTGAGCAATTCACATGGTCCCAGGCCAGGTGTTGACAGGTGTCCTCAATGGGGATGGCCCAGATGTTCACCGTTGTCTTAATTAGGCCAAGTGCAGATGCCCATAGCTGCCTCACAGGGCTCAGCCAAAAGGAACAAGGCTGTTCTCCTGAGCCCACATCACGTATTTATAGCTTTCCACATTGGGGTCAGCCCAGGTGTTGGTAGCCATGCATTCTGGGCCAATCCGTTATTCCAAGCTGTTTCCTTGGGCCCAGCCCAGGTGTCCACAGCCATCCTCATTGGTCCAGCACAGGTGTTCAGAGCTATCCTCCTTGGCCCCAGGCCAGATGTTGACACTCGATCTGACTGGGCCCAGACCGGGTATGCAAAGCTGTCTTAACTGGGAGCAGCCCATGCTTTCACAGCGGTCTTCACTGGTGTCAGCCAGGTTTCTCAGAACTGTCACTTGGCCGAACCTTGGTGTACATTGCCATCCCCATGGAGCACAGCTCAGGTATCCATAGCCATCCTCACTGGGGCCAGCTGAGGTGTTCCCAGCCATCCTCATTTGTCTCAGTGCAGGGGTTCACAGCTGTCCTCACTGGCTGAGCCTAGTTGTTCCTTGCAATCATTACTTGAGCAAGACCAGGTGTTCATGGCTGTTCTAATTGGGGGCGAGCCCAGGAGTTAATGGTGCTCCTCATCTGGGCCAGCCCAGGTATTCACAGCCATCCTCATCATGATCAGTTTCAGTGTTCAAAGCTGTCCTCCTGAGGCCAGCCTGGTTGTTCGCTGCTGCTTTTACTGGGCCCAGCCCAGGTTTTCCCAGCTTCCCTCACTGGGGCTAGCGCAGGTGTTCACAGCTTTCCTCATTGGGCCCAGGCCATGGGTTCATAGCCATCTTCATCAGGCAAAGCCAAGGTGTTCACAGCCATTTTTTCCGGGTCCAGCCGAAGTCGCCCTCACTTGGGCCCAGCCCAGGCGTTAATAGTCATCATCAGTGGGATTAGCCCAGTTGTTCACAGCATCTTTCTAGGGCTGAGTTTAGGTGTCAAGAGCCATTCATCTTGGGCCCAGCCAGCTGTTCATAGGCATCCTCATGGGGACAGGCCCAAGTGCTCACAGTGGCTCTCACTGAAACCAGGGCAGGTGTTTTTGGCTGTCTTCATTGGGCCCAGCCTAGACATTCATAGCTGTGCTCAAGGCGACCAGCCACGATGTTAACAGCTGTCTTCAGGGCAATCGTCCCCGGTGCCACAGCTGTCCTTATTGGCTTAGCCCAAGTGTTCTCAGCTGTTCTCGTTGGACCCAGGCCAGGTGTTCACAGCTGTCCTCACTGGCCCAGCCCAGGTTTCCATAGCCACCCTCACTGGGTCCAGCTCAGGGCTTCACAGCTGTTTACTCTGGGCCGAGTCCAAACACTCCAAGCTGTCCTTAGAGGGCCCAGCCAAGGCGTTCACAGCTATCCTCATTGGTAGCTAGCCCAGGTGTTAGTCCTTGTCCTCAGTGGGCCAGACCAGTGTTCACAGACATCCTTATTGGGCCAGCCCAGGAGTTCCATGCTGACCTCGCTGGGCCCTGCCTAGCCCTTCATAGCTGTCCTCACTGGGCCCAGGCCAGGTGTTTGCAGCCATCCCCATCAAGGTCAGCCCAGGGGTTCACAGCCTTCCTTGTTTGTATGAACTCAGTTTATTATAGCAACAGTTTTTGATGGCTGTCAATATCAAGGCAAGCCCAGGAGTTCACGCTACCCCTCAGTAACATCAAGCCCAGGGTTAAGAGCCATTTTCACTGGCCCCAGGCCACCTGTTCATAGCTGTCTTCATTGTTTCCAGCCCAGGGCTTCCCAGCTGTCTTCATCCAGGCCTGCGCCGGTGTTCACAGTGGTCCTCATCTAAGCCAGCCAAGAAGATCTCTGTCATCCACGTGACAGCCAGCCCAGATGTCCCTAGCCGTCCTCATCAAGGCCAGCCAGTTTGCTTACACGTGTGCTAATTGGAGCCAGCCACCCTCATAGAGGCCATCCCAGGTACCGACAGCCATCCACACTGAGCCCAGCCCAGGTGTCCACACCTGTCCCCATTGAGCCTAGCCCTGGTGTTCATGGCTTTTGTCACAGGACTTCTCCCAGTTGTTTCCAGCAGTTTCCATGGTCCCAGGCCAGGGTTTCACAGACATCCTCAATGGGGACAGCCCAGCTGTTCACCATTGTCTTAATTAGGCCCAGTGCAGATGTTCACACGTGTCTTCCTTTGGCTCAGCCAAAATGAACAGAACTCCTGAGCGCATACCAGCGGTTTCTAGCTGTCCACATTGGGGCCAGCCCAGGTGTTCGTAGCCCTACGTTCTGGGCCCATCCCAGTTATTCCAAGCTGTCCTCTTGGGCCTAGCCCAGGTGTCCACAGCCATCCTCCTTGGTCCCGGCACAGGTGTTCACAGCTATCCTCCTTGGCCCCAGGCCACATGTTCACATGCCATCTCACTGGGCCCAGAGCAGCTATGGAAATTTTTGCTCTTGAAGTTGAGGTCTGTTTTAATTGAGGTTTCTGAGGTTGTATAGCAGTGTGCAGATGCAGGGGACTTGTGCCCCAGCACTGGGCTGCCTGGCTGTGCCCTGGGCTTGTGTGACCTTCAGTCTGTGCTGGGCTGGAATCTGCTCTAGAGGTTTCCAGATTTCTTTTTACCCTCCACCCCAACAGACCCTCAGGCCTTTTTGTGCTCACTTCCCAAGCTCCCCCTGGACTCTGCTCCAGAGTCCATGTCAGCCCCGCCTGGGACCTTGACTGCCACATCACCCACATTGCTCCTCTCAGCCTGTGATGACGATATATCCAGACCCCTTTCTGCCCCAGAGCTGCAGTGGGTCTCAGAGGAGCCCAGCTTTACCCCACAGTCTACCCTGGGAAGGTGGAGACACATCTGATACTGACACTGCAGGGGGTGCCCCATATGGCAGCTGCTCCACCAGGGCTGCCCTGACCCGTCCCCAGCTGTAAGTCCCATGTCACTGGTGTGCACAGGCACTCACCTCTTTAACTTTGTCACGTCCACATTCTTAAGTGTTTGGTGGCACCAGGACCTGGCAGGTCTGAGGGAAGGACCCCTCGAAGCTCAGTTAGTTCTCTATGTCCAGCAAGGATGAGTGTGAGGCCCCGAGCATCGAGCATCGGGAAAACCACGTCAGGTGTTCCTCCCAAGTAGGTGCCCATTGCAGTGCCTGCCCCTGCCAGAGGGCACTGCCTGAGCTAAATCCCCCGTCTCACCTTCCCAGACCTTCACCTGGTTTCAGGGCTCCTCAGCCACCCACATATCGCTGAAATGTCAAAGAGCTTGTGAGGAAGCTTCTGGGGCACCTGCCTTCTAGAGGAGGCTGAGGGCAGCTGCGGATGGTTATTTATGGGGATGTTTTTGGCCTGGGCCACAAGCAGGTGGGTAAGTGGCACAGGGATGGCAGCTTAAGGTGCCCCGGCTTCTCTGCGTGGCTGTCACTGAGCAGAGGAGTCCGGGCCTGCCAGCAGGTTCCATCCTAGCTTATTCTCTGTGTGTCCTCAGTTGGGGTACCTACCCGGTCTCTGCCTCAGTTTCCTCCTCTGTGAGACAGTGATCCTAACAGGCCCTACCTCTGACAGTGGTTTTGATGAAGTACGCGATGTGGGTGAAGCACCTGGAGCTGGCCCACTCACAAAGAACGCGCCACGGACTCTCAAGGTTAATGTTGAAAAGGGGCTGGGGTGGGGCAAAAGTGGGCAGGCCATTTCAGCTCCAGGTGCCTGGGCTGACAGATTGGATTAAATTAGCATGTGCATTGCTGAGTGCACAGGGGACAGTTGCCCAGGCCAGAGGCATCAGGGTCAAAGCTGGTGATGCCTTGGCCTCATCACCCCAGGCTAGGGCCAGTGCATGATGTAGTCAGCCAGGGGAGGGCTCTGGAGCCCTGCAGCCGAGGGGGCCTGGTGACCCTCACAAGGTCATTCACAGGCCACTAGGATGGCCTGCCCTTTTCCGGCCAGGCCTCACTCTAGGAAAAAAAAAAAATTGATTGTAACCTCGTTGGCAGTTTCCTTTGCATAGAAGTGGGAATTCGCTGCTAGCGAGGCTGGTGATGAACTCCGCAAAAGCTGGGAAATCTCGTTTGAGCAGGAGCGCCCATTATCTTGGCCAAGCTGCTGCAGCTGGGCTGAGCGGGTGTGGAAGTGTGGGTGGTAGTCGTGTAAGTTCTCCAGCCAAGCCCAAGTTCCTCTGCAGACCTGTGCATGACGGCATATCCAGATGATTCCAACCTCCTGCTGTGGATTCAGTCCCGCTCCATAAGACTTCTCTGCAGTCCCCAGACATCAACAAGGAGCAATAAGCTATCTTTTCTGTGTCTTACCTGAATTCTTGTCCCTGTGAAGCATTAGCAAATTGAAATGTTTGTTTTCTACCAGCATTTGGGGGTATTAGTTTTTTTTATTTAAAAATAATCACAGTAAAGACATCAGGAATAACACACTTGTAGGACATTCACGAGGTACAGAAGAATGCACACCAAAATCTGGACTTGTCTTTTCCTCTTCTGTAGCCTGCCAGCTTCTGCCTCTGGAAGTAACAACTGTTAAGTTTCTGCACATCTTTCCAGATTTATTAATTGAACAATCATACAGCACTGACACCGTGACAAAGCTTTGTCAAAGGACTTTGGCTACCAGTGTAAAAGACTCATTTATTTTCATTTACTGTGAACACTTAGGTGGCACCAGGAAGGAAAGCCTTATGTTCATTCCTTTTTATTCTTCCTAACATATTCTGTTTTTAAAAATGTCTTTTCTAGGGGCTGGGCACAGTGGCTCACGCCTGTAATACCAACACTTTTGGAGGCCGAGGCAGGTGGATCACTTGGTCAAGAGATCGACACCATCCTGGATAACACGGTGAAACCCTGTCTCTACTAAAAATACAAAAAATTAGCTGGGCACAGTGGCGGGCGCCTGTAGTCCCAGCTACTCGGGAGGCTGAGGCAGGAGAATGGCGTGAACCTGGGAGGCAGAGGTTGCAGTGAGCCGAGATCGTGCCGCTGCACTCCAGCCTGGGTGACAGAGCGAGACTCCATCTCAAGAAAAAAAAAAAAAAAAAAGTATTTCCCAATTTGGCATTAAGAGATATAAATCTGTGGTCTAGTATTTTTTAATTGAGTTTTCTCACTCTCTCTCATATATGTGTATATATATATGTGCACACCTGCCCAATTTTCTATTCAGTTGTTGACAATTAAAATTCTCCATTTACACAGGTAATATGTGTTCCTTCCCAAATTCTGTTAACCACCCCTTCAATTAGATAATTCCTGAAAAAAATTGCAACATCTATGTTAATGCAGTTTTTTTTGTTTTTTTTTTATTTTTTACTTTTTGTTTATTATACTATAAGTTTTAGGGTACATGTGCACAACGTGCAGTTTTGTTACATATGTATACATGTGCCATGTTGGTGTGCTGCACCCATTAACTTGTCATTTAACATTAAGTATATCTCCTAATGCTATCCCTCCCCCCACCCCCCACCCCACAACAGGCCCCGGTGTGTGATGTTCCCCTTCCTGTGTGCATGTGTTCTCATTGTTCAATTACCACCTATGAGTGAGAACATGTGGTATTTGGTTTTTTGTCCTTGCTATAGTTTGCTGAGAATGATGGTTTCCAGCTTCATCCATGTCCCTACAAAGGACATGAACTCATCATTTTTTATGGCTGCATAGTATTCCATGGTGTATATGTGCCACATTTTCTTAATCCAGTCTATCATTGTTGGACATTTGGGTTGGTTCCAAGTCTTTGCTATTGTGAATAGTGCCACAATAAACATACGTGTGCATGTCTTTATAGCAACATGACTTATAATCCTCTGGGTATATACTCAGTAATGGGATGGCTGGGTCAAATGGTATTTCTAGTTCTAGATCCCTGAGGAATCGCCACTCTCTCTTCCACAATGGTTGAACTAGTTTACAGTCCCACCAACAGTGTAAAAGTGTTCCTATTTCTCCACATCCTCTCCAGCACCTGTCGTTTCCTGACTTTTTAAAGATCACCATTCTAACTGGTGTGAGATGGTATGTCATTGTGGTTTTGATTTGCATTTCTCTGATGGCCAGTGATGATGAGCATTTTTTCATGTGTCTGTTGGCTGCATAAATGTCTTCTTTTGAGAAGTGTCTCTTTGTATCCTTTGCCCACTTCTTAATGGGGTTGTTTTTTTCTTGTAAATTTGTTTGAGTTCTTTGTAGATTCTGGATATTAGCCCTTTATCAGATGAGTAGATTGCAAAAATTTTTCTCCCATTCTGTAGGTTGCCTGTTCACTCTGATGGTAGTTTCTTTTCTGTGCAGAAGCTCTTTAGTTTAATTAGATCCCATTTGTTAATTTTGGCTTTCGTTGTCATTGCTTTTGGTGTTTTAGACATGAAGTCCTTGCCCATGCCTATGTTCTGAATGGTATTGCCTAGGTTTTCTTCTAGGGTTTTTATGGTTTAAGTCTAACATTTAAGTCTTTAATCCATCTTGAATTAATTTTTGTAAAAGGTGTAAGGAAGGGATCTAGTTTCAGCTTTCTACATGTGGCTAGCCAGTTTTCCCAGCACCATTTATTATATAGGGAATCCTTTCCCCATTTCTTGTTTTTGTCAGGTTTGTCAAAGATCAGATAGTTGTAGATATGTGGCATTATTTCTGAGGGCTCTGTTCTGTTCCATTGGTCTATATCTCTGTTTTGGTACCAGTACCATGCTGTTTTGGTTACTGTAGCCTTGTAGTATAGTTTGAAGTCAGGTAGCATGATGCCTCCAGCTTTGTTCTTTTGGCTTAGGATTGACTTGGCAATGCGGGCTCTTTTTTGGTTCCATATGAACTTTAAAGTAGTTTTTTCCAATTCAGTAAAGAAATTCATTGGTAGCTTGATGGGGATGGCATTGAATCTATAAATTACCTTGGGCAGTATGGCCATTTTCACAATATTGATTCTTTCTACCCATGAGCATGGAATGTTCTTCCATTTGTTTGTATCCTCTTTTATTTCATTGAGCAGTGGTTTGTAGTTCTCCTTGAAGAGACCCTTCACATCCCTTGGAAGTTGGATTCCTAGGTATTTTATTCCCTTTGAAGCAATTGTGAATGGGAGTTCACTCATGATTTGGCTCTCTGTTTGTCTGTTATTGGTGTATAAGAATGCTTGTGATTTTTGTACATTGATTTCGTATCCTGAGACTTTGCTGAAGTTGCTTATCAGCTTAAGGAGGTTTTGGGCTGAGACGATGGGGTTTTCTAGATATACAATCATGTCATTTGCAAACGGGGACAATTTGACTTCCTCTTTTCCTAATTGAATACCCTTTATTTCCTTCTGCCTGATTGCCCTGGCCAGAACTTCCAACACTATGTTGAAGAGGAGTGGTGAGAGAGGGCATCCCTGTCTTGTGCCAGTTTTCAAAGGGAATGCTTCCAGTTTTTGCCCATTCAGTATGATATTGGCTGTGGGTTTGTCATACATAGCTCTTATTATTTTGAGATACGTCCCATCAATAACTAATTTATTGAGAGTTTTTAGCATGAAGGGCTGTTGAATTTTGTCAAAGGCCTTTTCTGCATCTATTGAGATAATCATGTGGTTTTTGTCTTTGGTTCTGTTTATATGCTGGATTACATTTATTGATTTGCATATGTTGAACCAGTCTTGCATCCCAGGGATGAAGCCCACTTGATCATGTTGGATAAGCTTTTTGATGTGCTGCTGGATTCGGTTTGCCAGTATTTTATTGAGGATTTTTGCATCAATGTTCATCAGGGATATCGGTCTAAAATTCTCTTTTTTGTTGTGTCTCTGCCAGGCTTTGGTATCAGGATGATGCTGGCCTCAGAAAATGAATTAGGGAGGATTCTCTCTTTTTCTATTGATTGGAATAGTTTCAGAAGGAATGGTACCAGCTCCTCCTTGTACCTCTGGTAGAATTCGGCTGTGAATCCATCTGGTCCTGGACTTTTTTTGGTTGGTAAGCTATTAATTATTGCCTGAATTTCAGAGCCTGTTATTGGTCTTTTCAGAGATTCAACTTCCTCCTGGTTTAGTCTTGGGAAGGTGTATGTGTCGAGGAATTTATCCATTTCTTCTAGTTTTTCTAGTTTATTTGTGTAGAGGTGTTTATAGTATTCTCTGACGGTCATTTGTATTTCTGTGGGATCGGTGGTGATCTCCCCTTTATCATTTTTTATTGCCTCTATTTGATTCTTCTCTCTTTTCTTGTTAGTCTTGCTAGCAGTCTATCAATTTTGTTGATCTTTTCAAAAAACCAGCTCCTGGATTCATTGATTTTTTGAAGGGCTTTTTGTGTCTCTGTTTCCTTCAGTTCTGCTCTGATCTTAGTTATTTCTTGCTTCTGCTAGCTTTTGAATGTGTTTCCTCTTGCTTCTGTAGTTCTTTTAATTGTGATGTTAGGGTGTTAATTTTAGATCTTTCCTGCTTTCTCTTGTGGGCATTTAGTGCTATAAATTTCCCTCTAACACACTGCTTTAAATGTGTCCCAGAGATTCTGGTATGTTGTGTCTTTGTTCTCGTTGGTTTCAAAGAAGATCTTTATTTCTGCCTTCATTTTGTTATGTAGCCAGTAGTCATTCAGGAGCAGGTTGTTCAGTTTCCATGTAGTTGAGTGGTTTTGAGTGAGTTTCTTAATCCTGAGTTCTAGTTTGATTGCACTGTGGTCTGAGAGACAGTTTGTTATAACTTCTGTTCTTTTACATTTGCTGAGGAGTGCTTTACTTCCAACTATGTGGTCAGTTTTGGAATAAGTGCGATGTGGTGCTGAGAAGAACGTATATTCTGTTGATTTGGGGTGGAGAGTTCTGTAGATGTCTATTAGGTCTGCTTGGTGCAGAGCTGAGTTCAATTCCTGGATATCCTTGTTAACTTTCTGTCTCGTGGATCTGTCTAATGTTGACAGTGGGGTGTTACAGTCTCCCATTATTATTGTGTGGGAGTCTAAGTCTCTTTGTAGGTCTCTAAGGACTTGCTTTATGAATCTGGGGGCTCCTGTATTGGGTGCATATATATTTAGGATAGTTAGCTGTTCTTGTTGAATTGATCCCTTTACCATTATGTAATGGCCTTCTTTGTCTATTTTGATCTTTGTTGGTTTAAAGTCTGTTTTATCAGAGATTAGGATTGCAACCCCTGCCTTTTTTTATTTTCCATTTGCTTGGTAGATCTTCCTCCATCCCTTTATTCTGAGCCTATGTGTGTCTCTGCACGTGAGATGGGTTTCCTGAATATAGCACACTGATGGGTCTTGACTCTTTATCCAATTTGCCAGTCTGTGTCTTTTAATTGGAGCATTTAGCCCATTTACATTTAAGGTTAATATTGTTATGTGTGAATTTGATCCTGTCGTTATGATGTTAGCTGGTTATTTTGCTCGTTAGTTGACGCAGTTTCTTCCTAGCCTTGATGGTCTTTACAATTTGGCATGGTTTTGCAGTGGCTGGTACCGGTTGTTCCTTTCCATGTTTAGTGCTTCCTTCAGGAGCTCTTGTAGGGCAGGCCTGGTGGTGACAAAATCTCTCAGCATTTGCTTGTCTGTAAAGGATTTTATTTCTCCTTCACTTATGAAGCTTAGTTTGGCTGGATATGAAATTCTGGGTTGAAAATTCTTTTCTTTAAGAATGTTGAATATTGGCCCCCACTCTCTTCTGGCTTGTAGAGTTTATGCCGAGAGATCAGCTGTTAGTCTGATGGGCTTCCCTTTGTGGGTAACCTGACCTTTCTCTCTGGCTGCCCTTAACATTTTTTCCTTCATTTCAGCTTTGGTGAATCTGACAATTATGTGTCTTGGAGTTGCTCTTCTCGAGGAGTATCTTTGTGGCATTCTCTGTATTTCCTGAATTTGAATGTTGGCCTGCCTTGCTAGATTGGGGAAGTTCTCCTGGATAATATCCTGCAGAGTGTTTTCCAACTTGGTTCCATTCTCCCCGTCACTTTCAGGTACACCAATCAGACATAGATTTGGTCTTTTCACATAGTCCCATATTTCTTGGAGGCTTTGTTTGTTTCTTTTTATTCTTTTTTCTCTAAACTTCTCTTCTCGCTTCATTTCATTCATTTGATCTTCCATCACTGATACCCTTTCTTCCAGTTGATCGAATTGGCTACTGAGGCTTGTGCATTTGTCACATAGTTCTCATGCCATGGTTTTCAGCTCCATCAGGTCATTTAAGGACTTCTCTGCATTGGTTATTCTAGTTAGCCATTCATTTAATCTTTTTTCAAGGTTTTTAACTTCTTTGCCATTGGTTTGAACTTCCTCCTTTAGCTCGGAGAAGTTTGATCATCTGAATCCTTCTTCTCTACTCGTCAAAGTCATCCTCCATCCAGCTTTGTCCTGTTACTGGTGAGGAGCTGCGTTCCTTTGGAGGAGGAGAGGCACTCTGATTTTTAGAATTTTGAGTTTTTCTGCTCTGTTTTTCCCCATCTTTGTGGTTTTATCTACCCTTGGTCTTTGATGATGGTGACATACAGATGGGGTTTTGGTGTGGATGTCCTTTCTCTGTTTGTTAGTTATCCTTCTAACAGCCAGGACCCTCAGCTGCAGGTCTGTTGGAGTTTGCTGGAGGTCCACTCCAGACCTTGTTTGCCTGGGTGTCAGCAGTGGAGGCTGCAGAACAGCGAATATTGAGGAACAGCAAATGATGCTGCCTGATTGTTCCTCTGGAAGTTTTGTCTCAGAGGAGTAGCTGGCCATGTGAGGTGTCAGTCTGCCCCTACTGGGTGGTGCCTCCCAGTTAGGCTACTCGGGGGTCAGGGACCCACTTGAGGAGGCAGTCTGTCCGTTCTCAGATCTCAAACTGTGTGCTGGGAGAACCACTACTCTCTTCAAAGCTGTCAGACAGGGACATTTAAGTCTGCAGAGGTTTCTGCTGCCTTTTGTTTGGCTATGCCCTGCCCCCAGAGGTGGAGTCTACAGAGGCAGGCAGGCCTCCTTGAGCTGCGGTGGGCTCCACCCAGTTAGAGCTTCCCAGCCACTTTGTTTACCTACTCAAGCCTGGGCAATGGCGGGCGCCCCTACCCCAGCCTCGCTGCAGCCTTGCAGTTTGATCTCAGACTGCTGTGCTAGCAATGAGCGAGGCTCCATGGGCGTAGGACCCTCCGAGCCAGGTGCAGGATATAATCTCCTGGTGTGCCGTTGGCTAAGACCATTGGAAAAGCGCAGTATTAGGGTGGGAGTGACCTGATTTTCCAGGTGCTGTCTGTCATCCCTTTCCTTGGCTAGGGGAGGGAATTCCCTGACCCTTTGCACTTCCCGGGTGAGGCAATGCCTTGCCCTGCTTCGGCTCACACTCAGTGCGCTGCACCCACTGTCCTGCACCCACTGTCCTACAATCCCCAATGAGATGAACCTGGTACCTCAGTTGGAAATGCAGAAATCATTCGTATTCTGCATCGCTCATGCTGGGAGCTGCAGACTGGAGTTGTTCCTATTCGGCCATCTTGGCTCCACCCCCTATTAATGCAGTTTTTGTGCCTCATTAATGACCCATTTGATTTAATAGTTCTTAAAACTTGTGATGAATCAACAGTGATGGAAAGTTGTACTGAATCATATCTTTTTTTATTACTATGAATTATATTGTTAGAGATTGGCTTTAAAATTGAAGTTACACTAATGCATTTTAAATGTAATTTGGAGCTAGTTTAGAATTGTTGAAGCTAGGACTCTCTGGTGACTCAGGAATAGTAGAAATTGGTGGGGAAGGCATTTCACATCAAGCCTGGAATCTCCCTTTATTCTCAATGTATTAGCTTTTCTTATCTTTACCCTGAAATTTTCACTATCAAATATATTTGAGAGGCAAATCTTTTTCCTCCTTTAATGTTTGTTTCATACACATAGAATAATACTGTGTGTCTGAGATTCAGTTTTTGAAATGAAACATGGAGTCTAAGTGACCCCTTGTCGATGTGACAATGGACTGGTCTAGATCACAGCAGTTGGGCCCCATATTGTGACATGGATGCTTGCGAAAATTCTACTGTGACCTGTTGCTGAGGTGATCTGATGATATAGGTCTTGCCTTTCATTTTAACTGCCATTCTGGCAACTGAACGTTGGCAGTAAACGCAGCTTAGTTGTCTCAGAGGACTCACAATGGGATGTGCTTATAGTTGTTGCCTCGAAGGTATGTATGTTCATTTCCATCTTCTGACTGCAATTTCTTCAGATAAGCCAGTTTTCCTGTACGTTAAATGTCATTCTGATTTTTTTTTATTTCCCCAGCTCCTATTTGTCTACAGATTTATAAATATGTTTCAGAGTTTTATTACTCAATTTGTGTTTTTTTATTCTTCTATCAAGATTTTTGCCTCAAATACTTTTCTCTAGAAAATACACTGCTTCCAATGCCAATTTTTTTTTTTTTTTTTTTTTTTTTGGAAGAGTCTTGCTCTGTTGCCTAGGCTAGAATGCAGTGGTGTGATAATGGCTCACAGCAACCTCCACCTCCCAGGTTTAAGCAATTCTCCTGCCTCAGCCTCCTGAGTAGCTGGGATTACAGGCATCCGCCACCACGCCTGGCTAATTTTCGTATGTTTAGTAGAGACAGGGTTTTACAATGTTGGCAAGGGAGGTCTTGAACTTCTGACCTCCTGATCCACCTTCCTTGGCCTCCCAAAGTGATGGGATTATAGGCATGAGCCACAGAGCCTGGACTTTTCTTTTCTTTTTTTTTTTTGGCAGAGTCTCATTCTGTCACCCAGGCTGGAGTGCAGTGGCACAATCTCAGCTCTTTGCAACCTCTGCATCCCAGGTTCAAGCGATTCTCCTGCCTCAGCCTCCCAAGTAGCTGGGACTACGGGTGCCTGCCACCATGCCTGGCTAATTTTTGTATTTTTAGTAGAGACAGGGTTTCACCATATTGACCAGGCTGGTCTTGAACTCCTGACCTTGTGATCTGCCCACCTTGGCCTCCCAAAGTGCTGGGATACAGGTGTGAGCCACCACACCCGGCCTCCCCCGCCACACACACTCTTTCATAGACTAGATACAGAATAAACTGCTGAAAAATCCACTGGGGGGCCACATTTTCAGTTAATTCCCATTAATTGCTTCTTCAGAATGGTTCAGTTGAAGGGAAGTTTATTCTTGGCACAGCCATCAAGTGGTAGTTAGTTTGGAAGGTCCTAAGTTCCGAACTACCTTGGGGGCCAAGCAGAACTTGGTCCCTTGCTGTGGTCAGTTGGTCATGGAGGGGTGCTCACTGCCAGACAGCTGACAATACAGGGCAATGGGTAGGATGACCAGACATTTGAATTTGTTCCTCAGAGAGGCTTCGTTTGCAGGAAAGTGCCATATTTTAGCCCAGGAGTTAAAACCTAGAGACAGGAGTTTTGTTTTGTTAAATGATTTGGCTTTTTTCTGGACTCACCACCTCTTCCAAATACATCAACCTTCCTGAAGAGCCCTTGGTGCAGGAGGATTGAGAAAGGGAGTGGAAAGAGCTCCAGGTTCAGGGTCCAGGCCATGATTTAGAGGCCTCAGGTATTCAGGGATCTCTGTCCCCAGAAAACCAGCCAAATTCTTGTCCCAGATCTATCATTCGTCAGTGTTGTGACCCTAGGCAGGTCGCTTCAAATCTCTTCATTTCACTTCCCTGAACCGTCACCTCTGAGTGGCAGCCCCTGCTCTGCCCATCTCTCTGGGCCTATGTGGGCATCACAGGAAATTCAAACAAAAACTTTTCACGAGTTCTAAAGCATGAGACCCATGTCAAGAATGAAAAGAATTTTAGCCTCCACTGCCCTGGAGTCCCCCAAGTGGCTTCTCTATTAACCACTACCAAGGGCCTGGCTTATTCTTCCAGACATGAAATAATTGAACACTTTATGGCACTTAGGAAGCACCCGTTTTAAGGCTTTAGGTCCATTTAACTATTCTTACCCTTTTAACATAACGTAGGCCATTAGGAGGCACAGAGGGATCTATAGAACTTCCTCAGGTTCTAGCAGCTTCTCAGAAGTCCCTGAGCTCAGATCCTATGCTCCGGACCCTATGCTCTTGGTCACTCCAATCTACTACCTTTCTGTAATGTCTCATCTCAATACAGGCATTTGCCTGCACACTTATACGTGCAACCCACAGTGCAAGTCTTTCTGAAGCCCAACTCAGATTCAGGGGGCTTTGCTCTGCAGATGATGAACAATGGAATCAAACATTTAAGCTGTGAATAAATAATTACTCATTTCTCTGATCTTTTGCGGCAAGACACCAACACCTGTCTTTATTTTAATTCATTTCCCAGTGTGTTGTGGCGAGGATGAAATAGTGTATCCTAGGATGCCAGGGGAATCCACCGTCTGCCACCGCGAGCGTGAGAAGCCAATCACCTATCACTGGTATCACTGGCATCCCGGCCATATATACCCTAGAGTTGCATCAATGGAAGGTGTTGTGGAAATTCAGTCATTCAGTTCATTCATGATATGATTTCTAGATTCTTCAGTGTCTCATATTTCAGACAATTATAAAATTGCGATGCTATATTCTTTATTTCATGTGTGCATATTTAAATGTGTTAAGTCAATCACTAGTGCTACAACCAGAGGAGTAAAGGTGTATTTCCATTCCAGATTTGGGTTTACTTTTAATAGTAAATAACATCTCAGTGCAAATTGTAGACATTTTGCTGATTGTTAAAACATTAATTAAAAAGGATCTTTTTCTGAGACAGTGTTGCCAGGTTTGTAAAGTAATGGACATCACTTCAAACTGTTTGGAAGTAACCGAAAAATGGAGGAAGTGGCAACAAAACTTTCCATATACCCACCTTCCTCAGTATTTTTTGGTGATCCCATCTTTGTGAGTGTGATAACGCTCGTAACAATGACTGAGCCAATAGTGATACATTCTTATGAACAGAAGTCCAAGGTTAGCATCAGTGACTGAGCCAATAGTGATACATTCTTATGAACAGAAATCTAGGGTTAGCATCAAGGTTCACTCTGTGTTGTCCAGCCTATGGGTTTTGACAAACTGACAATGTCTTTTGTCACCCTGACGGAATAATTTCACATCCTACACATGACCTGAGCTGCATCTACTAATTCCTCTCCTTTTCTGAGGATTCCTGACAACTATGGATGATTTTACTGCCTCTATAGGTTTCCTTTTCCAGAATTGTATAGAGTTGGAATCATAGAGTATGTAGCTACGTATAACTAACTTATTTTACTTAGCAATATACATGTAAGATCTTTTGTATCGTTTTGAAGCTTAACAGCTTAATAATTCTTATCAGTGAACAATAGTCCATTGGTTTCATCGAACAGGGTTAGTTGGTTCACTCACTGCCTGAAGACCATCTGAGCTGCTTCCAATTTGGGTAATTATGAATAAAGCTGCCCACATTCTTGTGCAGATTTTAAGATGAACATAATTTTCTAATTTAGCTGGGTAAATATGTAGAATTTTGATCACTTGCTGGTAAGACTATGTTTTCCATTGTGTTAGGCAGAATTCACCAGTACAATTATGTGGGCATTTTTTTTTAAGTTATTACTTCCTGATTAAATTCTATAATGATAGAGGCCTACTCAGATTATCTATCTCTCCTTTGGGTGGTTATGGTAGTTTCTCCCTTTGAAGGCATTTGTCCATTTCATCTAAGCTAGGAAATTTGTGGGTGTAGACACTTGAATCTGACAAGTTGCCTGCTTGGTTCTCATCAAAGGCTACTGTGCTTCCTGTCATTCCTACTCTCAAACTTTTCAATAGACTTTCACTCCTGCACTTAAAAAATTGCAGGCATAGATTTGTTGAAAGTATTCTGTTATTATTTTCTTAATGATTATGGGATCAGCAAGGATAATTCCTCTTCTATTCATATTGTTTGTACATCGTGTCTTCTGTATTTTCTTTGTGATTAGCCTTGCTGGAGGTTTACCAATTCTATTGATCTTTTCTAAGAAGCAGCTTTTGGTTTTGTTGAGTTTCTTTATTTTATTATTTCTATTACATTGATTTCTGCAAATATTGTTATATTTTGGGGGAGGAGTGTTGCCTGGTTTACATTACACTACACTTTTTTCTCTAGTTTCCTAAGGTGGAAAGTAAGACATCTGGATTTGGATTACATTTAGTTTACTGCACAGAATTGTGAATGGCACTGATGCCCCTGAAGTGTGCACTTGATTATTAAAATAATAAATATGATGTATTTTGGCCACAATACTGATTTTAAAGCCAATTAAATGGATGATAAGTACAGGAGGAGCATATGTAGATCAAGGAAAGATAAATGACATTATAACATTTCAACAACAAAAGAAATTTACCGGGCCTCAAAATGCACAAGGGGGTGATGGGACACTGTCATGAAATCAGCAGTGCATTTGTGTGCCACCCTGTGTGAACTCTGCCTTTTTTGCAGTGGTGTGGGGGCTTAGCCAGAGAACCAGGTCCTGACTTCTGTGGCTTCCTGATGGTCTCATTTGCCTTCCCTCATCACCCAGGAGGGTGTCCCAGTGGCAGCCAAGTTTCTACCCTTAACCCACCTCCTTTACACATGCCAGCCCCCTGTCCTTAGCATCCAAGGTTGCCTAAGGGATTCCTTCAGTGGAACCAACATGATGACAGTTACTCTGTGTTTCCTAGATTACGATGAGGACCTGGTGCAGGAAGCTTCATCTGAAGATGTCCTGGGCGTTCATATGGTAAGTTCTTCTTTATGTTTCTGAGATGGAAATTTTGTTGCTCTTGGTTCTTTTTTATTTTATTTGAATTGAGATATGAAAATCTTACCATGTACATTATAGATGACTTACAGAATATTTTGGTGGGAAAATGTGAGGGTCATTACCAGGTAAGAAATGATCTCAGATGGCATTCTTAGATGACACCTTCAGTTATGAACTGTATGGCAGAAAGAATTTTTGTTAGGGGAAAAGCTTTCTTCTTACAACATTGTGACTATACAACCAAAACAATCTTGAAAGTCTTGCATAAAAATCTTGTGCCTTTCCAGAAGTGTCTTCGAGGCTTTAGGACCATTGCCTCAACCACTGTCTCCCATCTGCTTTTCTAATGTCACCAAGTAAAGAAAAGACTTGTATGGTGAAACCCCATCTCTACTAAAAATACAAAAATTAGCTGGGCATGCTGACCGGCTACTGTAATCTCAGCTACTGGGGAGGCTAAGGGAGCAGGATCGCTTGAGGCCAGGAGGCGGATGTTGCAGTGAGCCATGATCATAACACTGTACTCCAGCCTGGGTGACAGAGCGAAATTCCAGCAAAGAAAGGGAGAGAGGAAGGGAGAGAGGGAGTAGGGGAGAGAGAGAGAGAGAGAGAGAGAGGCAGGAAGGAAGGAAGAAGGGAAGGGAAGAAGGAAGAGAAAGAAGGAAGGGAAAGAAAGAAGGAAGGAAAGAGAAAAAGAGAAAGAAAGAAAAAGAAAGAAAAGAAAGGAAAGAAAGAAGGAAGGGAGGGAGGGAAAAGGAAAACCTGTGCACACAGGACACAGCATGGTCTGACCCTTGTAGTGTTTTGTTTTTCTCTAAATGCAGGTGGACAAAGACACAGAGAGAGACAGTACGTATTCTGGAATCACCCCTATGCTGAGGAAAAATTCTAGTGTTGACAAAGGTGACACTTTCTTGCCTCATTTTTTCTGGAGAGCCACTCTGGTTTGAACTTCCTGCCAGAAATGTGGTTCAAGCACTTTTGTCTTGACAAGTGAAGAACCTGGTCAAGAAATGTGACCGTTGACTCTGGTGCTTGGAAGGAACAGGGTCATTTGGATAGAAGAGGGTGTTGTGAATCAGAGTTGGGAGGTATGGAGGAATGAGTCAATGTGGAATGATTGTGAATGTCTCTGCGAGTTTGTGTGCTTTTCCCCAGAAAATACGTTCCCATATGCAAAGCACAACACAAAGATTGATATTCTAGAAACAAAATTTGATCACCACTGCATTTTTGCAAAAAATCAACCCATTCATTCCTCACCACAGCTGTAGCTGAAGGTAAGTTTAATATCCCAAGTCCTCACATGGAGATGATGTAGAGATGAATTTTTCAGGCTTTTGGTCTCCTAAATGGAAATGGCATAGATGAACTCGGGAATGGGTGGAAGGGTGATGCTGTGGGCTACTAGTCTGAAGTTATAACATGGCCCTGGTGTAACTTGTCACCATGTCAGAGAGTCCTTAGCATCTATGTGTATGTGGAAGTATGTTGGCCTATAAAGATCTCCAGCACTGTATACCACAATAGAATGGTCTCAATGGTCAGCTGACCCAGAGTTTGAGTAGGTTCATTGTACAGTGAACTTGGGTGCGGTCATTAATATGAAACATACAGAGGGAGCTGCCAGGCCTTTGGTCTTAAGTGATGGGGTATTCCTCAGTTCCTGGTCAAGGGCAGAGAACATTCAGAGATATATTCTATTATATTTAATGAGATCATCACCACAAACGTTAGAAATGCTCCAATTCAGTAGCACACATACCCAAGACACAGCACCCAACAAGATCTCACAGAGCCAATTGGCTGTTAGCCTGGTGCCCATCTTGTCTGCTGGAATCTCTGCACAGCTGGGTAACAGAGGGTCAGCGCTCCCACCTGCTGTCACCCATGAAGGGCTGT
Source organism: Homo sapiens (assembly GCF_000001405.40). Classification (NCBI taxonomy): domain Eukaryota; kingdom Metazoa; phylum Chordata; class Mammalia; order Primates; family Hominidae; genus Homo; species Homo sapiens. Next base: position 176,091,448 of record NC_000005.10, read on the forward strand.
CCCATTCCTGGAGCCAGTGTGAGTATGAGCAACAGCGGGCCCCATGACACACACACACAGTGTTAAAAGAAAGAGCAGAAGGACAAATATCACAGGCTAAGTAGAGGTCATCTTTAAATGGTAGGATAATTGAGTATTTTCAAATCTTGGTTTAGTCTTCTTTGAAACAAAGGTTAGTGAATATGTAGAATATTTTGGCTAGAATTATATCACCTCTTTGAAGAAAGGTTGCTTTTTACCTCGTACAAAATGTTCTGGCTGGAGACGGTGGCTCATGCCTGTAATCCCAGTGCTTTGGGAGGCCAAGGAGGGTGGATTACCTAAGGTCAGGAGTTCAAGACCAGCCTGATCAACATGGAGAAACCCCATCTCTACTAAAAATACAAAATTAGCTGGGCATGGGAGCACATGTCTCTAATACCAGCTACTCAGGAAGCACATGTCTTTAATACCAGCTACTCAGGGAGCACATGTCTGTAATACCAGCTACTCAGCTACCCATTCATCGTCCACCACAGCTGTACCTGAAGATAAGTTTAATATCCCCAGTCCTCAGATGGACATGCTGCAGAGTTGAATTTCCCAAGCTCTTGGTCTTTTAAATGGAAGAGACACATGTGAACTCGGGAATGAGTGGAAGGTTAATGCCATGGGCTACTACACTGAATTTGTCACAAAGCCCTGGTATAATTTCTTGCTAGGCCAAGTTATTCCAGCACTTCTGTGTGCTGGAAGAATGAAAACCTATTCAGATCCCAAACACTATCATTATCGGATGGTCTCAATGGTCAGCTAACCCAGGGTTTGTTTGAGTAGGTACATTGCACTGTGGGCTTTAGTGTGATCATTAATGTAAAACACACAGAGTCCTCAGGCTTTTGGTCTACAGCGTTGAGGTCATTCCTCAGCTCCTGTTCAAAAGCAGACAATAATCAGTGACATACTCTATTGTATTTAAGGAGATAATCACCACAAGTCTTAGAAATTCAGTGGAAACCAATCCCAACACATAGCATCCAATAAAATCTCAAGACTCAACTTGGGTGTTAGCCTGGCACCCATTTTCCCTGATGGAATCTCTGCACAGCTGGGTTGGAGAGGGTCAGTGCCCACCCCTTGCCCCGCCTCGCTGCTCCCCATGACAGACTGTCTCTGTGCTGGAGTCAGTGTGAGCATGAGCAGCAGTGAACTCCATGGTGCACACACATGGTGTTGAAAAGGAAGAGCGGAAGAACAAATATCACATGCTAAGTAGGGGTCATCGTTAAATGGTAGGATAATAGAGTATTTTCAAATCTCTGTTTATTTGCCTTGTAACAGAAAGTTAGTAATAAAATCTTTTGGCTAGAATTAAATCTCCTATTTTAAGAAAGGTTACTTCTTGTTTAGTACAAAATCTTCTAGAAGGGATGATAAACAGATCAGCAGCACATGTGGATTCTGAGGAGGAAATGACTTTGGCAGGGATCAATAAGAGGGCAAGTTAGCTCAGGTCAGATTAGGAAGGAGGAGCCCTAAGAGGCTGCCAGGGACACACAGCCTGCACTGCTGGTGTGCACTGTTTGAGATTGGCTATTATATGTTTATGAGGCGGCCTGGAGCTAGGAAGCCAAAGGCCCTGATTCCCTTTCTTCCTGCATCTCTCCTGTGCCTGCTACCCTCCTCCCAAGCCCACCTCAAGCAGTGTTACTGAATTGTTCATGAGCGCCACCACCAAGGTGCTGACGGTCACTCTGTATCCTCCTAGTTGAGATGAAACGGCAACTACGGCGACTACGGGAGCTCCACCTATACAGCACATGGAAGAAGTACCAAGAGGCGATGAAGGTCAGGCCACCTGGATTTGTCTGAGAAAAAACAGTTGCTTTCTTAGCTTTATCTTATTTGGATTAAATTAAGATATGAGACTCTGACAATATGTATCTTAGTTACACAGTGTCCTTGGGGGGAATTGTAAGTGAGAGTCTGTCCCCACTGAGGCTTGATTTAAAACAGTGGGAGAAAATGACAGCATCAGTCACACATTGTGGGGCAGGGAGCTTTTGCCTTACTAATTTTGTTCTCTCTTTGGAGCAAAATCAGTTACTTGCCAACCAACATGGACTTGAGAGGAAATATCCTCTGAGAAAAATTTGTGTCTTTAGTATGAGTTGATTTGCTCTGTTCTTCTTTGGGGTTCCTTTGAACACTGGTTTTTCCATCTTGTTTTCTAATGTCACTAAGTGAAGAAAAGTCCTGTGCTCACAGGACACAGCATGGTCTGATGCTCATAGCAATTTATTTTCTGTCGTTACAGACATCCTTGGGAGTTCCACAATGTGGTACGTATTGGGGAACCCCTCTCATACTGATGAGTAATCTAGATGTTGAGGAATGTGGCCCTGTCTCACAGGCTTTCCTGTAGACAGGCAGCCTGAGCTGAGCTTCATGTTGTGAATGAGGACCTAGACTGTGATGGGAGAAATGGTTTTTCTAGATAAGAAACAGTGGCCACATTCTGCAGTCCCCGGGAACAACTGTGTTCTCTGAAGGTGGGGTGGGATCCCGTGCAAGGGGCCTGCCATGTCTTTTGTGAATTCATGTGGTGCCATGGTCCGTGTGTCTGGCGGGCGGGTGTGTGGGTTTCCATACTACATATCCCCAGAGTTTCTAGTGTCCACATTCTCAACAGAGATTTCCGTCACCATTGCGGTCCTATTGTAGGCACAAAAAAAGATTAACTTGTAAGCTTCCAATGTTTGCAGTTTATTTCATGCACAGGGCACTTCAATAAACCTAAAAGAAATCCTGTCAACACAAAGGCAAATTCTTACTGCACACCCATAGAACAGGACTGTGTCAGAATCTCTGCTGATTTTATTTTTTCATTCAGAATTCCCTGCTATACTTTATTTTCTAATAAACCTCACCTCTTCACAGGCCTTTCTATTTCCTCTGCCACTGGAGTGGTCATGACACCTCACTCTAGCCCCTTCCCTCCTTTACAAGCCTTTTATCTACCAAAGCCCTCAGAATTGACCCTCCACCACCCATCTTGAGCAGGGAGAGTGGGGCAGGGCTTCTTCCTGTGCATTTAGACCCTGGAGCAGCCTCATGCTACAGCGAGTTCTGGGAAACTGAGAAAGGAGCCTGCAGGTGGGGTTGGGGTGAAATCACCCCAACTTTCTCCATTGAGGCCTCATATTGACCATAAGATAATGGGGCCCAGAATGGATAATTCCAGGGTCATATAGAGTTTCAGCCTTCTATCCCTCAGCCTAGTCATGGTTTCTGTGTGCTCGGCTCAGAAACTACATGAAAAGAAAACCAAGGGGTTTGCCCTAGGGTCTGAGAGGCAGGGCGAGCACTTGCCTTCCTAGCATGATGGAGGGTGGCTCATGCACTGCAGGTGGGAAAGCAAACTCGGCTGTGGTACTGCAGAGGCTCCACGATGTCCCCATTCAACCGACTGTTGGCAAAGGTGCTTGTTTGTTTCTGAAGGCTGTTGCAAAAAAAAAAAAAAAAAACAAAAAAAAAACAAGTGAATGCAGTTGGTTTCGGTGAATAGGAATATAAAGTCAGCCAAATTTAGCTTGAGTTTTTTCTTGGAGTATGCATTTGGTGGAAACTTATTGTGTATAAATCAAATTTGATTGCTGTGTAGGTGTCATTACTTATCCCACGTTGTAAAACAATCAGGCTGGTGTGATTTGAAAATGTCCTTCACTAACCTCAGACACTGTCCCCTCATAACCCGATTCCCCTAGTCATCTTTAATCTCTAGAATATAGTTTCTTGTGGTACTCAGGGGGCTTTCTGCTGTGAGCGATTAAAGGTACAAATCAGTGTTACCAACATTGGGGCTCTAAAAATTCATAGACAGCTGCCCGTTGGGCTCTATGCGAGAGACAGCAGGCTACAGCCTTGGCCTGGGCCTGCAGAGGAACATGATTTGGAGGAGCAGAAGGAAGGCATGAGGGCAGCAAAGCCACGAGGGAAGCCAAGGTGCAACATCAGGAGAGTCAGTTCTACATCACCTGGGCACGGCCGGAATGTTCAAGCCTCATCTGAAGGAGGAGTTGAGCTCCGACTTCATGGCTGGCCTGAACATTGGCCATCTTCCCAAAAGCCTGGACAGAGGAGCTACTTTCTTGTTTCTTGTCTTCTCCATCTCCCTGTGTGTTGACAGCAATGGCACCACCAGAAATTAGTGAGAGACAGAGAACAGGAGTGAGTTCCTGAAATGTTCAACTTAGCCCAGAGAGGACATGATCATTAGGGATGGACTTCAGGGTCAGGCCAGACACAGAGTAGTTGCCAGGCTTGATCACCCTGTGGCTGGGACAAAGATCAGCTTCTGGGAGTCGCTGGACAGGTGGTCCTTGTGTAGCTACTATTGGCCAAGAGTGTCCTGGCCCAGAGTTCCGTTTTACTGGAGGGAGCCTCAGCTCCAAGGCAGGGCAGCTGCCCAATGCTAGTGTTGGAGGAGGCGAGGAGGGGACCTTGCTCTAAGGCAGGCTGAACTCAACAAAGGGAGAGGGGCTGCCCTGGAGTTTAGGTGGTCCTTGCAACCCTCCCGCGTGATCCATAAGAGATCAGTTTCTCTGAGACAGCCTTGCAATCATCAGTCCCAAAGTCTGTAGTCTCCTACTCACAGGTGGAGGAATCCTGGCCATGGCTGGTCACTGGGAGGGCAGGGACTGTGTCCTCATCCTTCTTTCTCATCCCAGAGCTCAGCTCTGGGCAGCCCATCTTGGGCCCCAGTGATGTTCCGATGCCTGCATTCCTGTTCTGAGATCTAGCACAAGTGTGCAAAAACTTTCTGCTCATTTTCTATAGTCTCCGGGTTCCCACACTTACCCAGTTACCTGCGTGGGTTGTAATCCAGGGTCGGGGAGAAGAGGGTGGGCTCCTCAAACAGTGAGGTTTTCTCTTCTCTGCCCCTGCGGTTCTGGTCTGTCTGTTCCTGAAGTGTGCACTGAATGATTACAATAATAAATTTTGTATATGTTTTACCACAACAATGTCTGAAGTTCAATAAAATGAATGGAAAGTGCAAGAGAGGCATATGTAGACCCAGGAAAGATAAATGACATTGTCACATTTCAACAGGAAAGTGGAAATTTCCCAGGCCTCAAAACGCATAGGGGAATGATGAGACACTGCCATGGCATCAGCAGTGCATGTCTGTGCTGCCAAGGCTCTGTCTTCCGTGGCTTTCCTGATGGTCTCATTGACCTTTCTTCATCACCAAGGAGGATGTTCTGGCAGGAGGTCCGTTTTTGCAGTTAACCCCCCTTGTCTACATGTGCCAGCCCCGTGTTTTTAGCACACAAGTCTGCCTGACGGATTCCTTCAGTGCACCCAACGTGCTGACAATTACTCTGTGTTTCCTAGAGCGTGACGAAGGCTCCTTGGGCAAGCCATTGTGTCCACCCGAGATACTCTCGGAGACGTTGCCAGGCTCTGTGAAGGTAAAGTCTTTTTTGTTTATCTGAGGTGGGAATTTTATTTCTCTTAGTTTCCATAGAAATTGAGATAAGAGATGATCATCTTACCATGTACATTATAGATGACTTACAGAATGTCTTGGTGGGCAGCTGTAAAGTCAGAGTCAATTACCAGCAAGAATGAATTCAAGATGACAGGTTCACTTAAAAACTCTAGGGCAGTAAGCATTTTCCATAGGAGAAGTGCTTCCTTCTTGAAACTAATGGTGAACATGCAATGAAAATAAACTTGGAAATCATGCACAGAAAACTTGTGCCTTTCCACGTGCCCTCTAGGCTTTAATTTGGAGCCCTTGTGTTGACTATTTTCACTATTTCCATTGGGTTTTCTATAATGTCAACAATGCAGAAAAGACCTGTGCACACAGGCCACAGTGTGGTCTGACTCTCATAATGTTTTTCTTTTCTCTATTTGCAGAAAAGGGTATGCTTTCCATCAGAAGGTATGTATTCTGGGTTTACTCTTTTTATTGTTTTTATTTTGCTTGCAATTCTAGGATGCATGTGTAGAACATGCAGCTTTGTTACATCGGTATAAATGTGTCATGGTGGTTTGCTGCACCTAAGCCTTGATCATGGCACTGCATTCTAGCCTGGGCAACACAGTGAGATTTCATCTCAAAAAAAAAAAAAATGCAGAGAACAATCAGGGACATATTCTACTATGTTTAATAACATGATGGCCACAAGTGTTCCACATGCCCTTATTCAGCCCACACATCCAATACACAGTGCAGAATAAGAGCTCAAGGAAGAATTGGGGTGTTATTCTGGTGTCCATCACCCCAGTGGGATTTCCTGCACAGCTAGTTTGGAGAGTGTTAGCGCCCCCACCTACTGCCCCCCATGATGATCTGTCCTAGTGCTGGAGTCAGCGTGAGCATGAACAGCAACTGACTCCATGGACACATACATCGTGTTGAAAAGGAAGAGTGGAAGGACAAATAAGCTAAGTGCGGGTCATTTTTAAATGGTAGGATAATTGAGTATTTTCAAATCTTGGTTTAATTCTGTTTGACTCAAAGGTTCAGTGAAGTCATAAGTTTTTTTGACTTCAGGGTCAGGCCAGACACAGAGTAGTTGCCAGGCTTGATCACCAAAGGTTAAATTTTTTTGAAGAAAGGTTGCTTTTATGCAGTACAAAATGTTTTAGGAGGGATGATGAACAGCAGCAGCACATGTGGATCCTGAGGGGGAAATGACCTCAGAAGGGATCACAAAGGGAGGGCAAGTTAGCTCAGGTCAGATTAGGAAGGAGGAACCTGAGACGTTGTAGGGAAGCACAGCCTGCCCCTATGGTGTGCCATCTTTGAGATCAGCTGAGTGCCATTGATGAGCTTGCGTTAGCCAGAGGACCAACGCTCTAGTTCCCATGGCTTTCCTCGTTGTCTCATTTGCCTGCCTGCACCACCAAGGAGAAAGGGCCTGCGGCTCCGTCTGGGGTAGCCAACCTTCTTCACACATGCCAGCCTCATGTCCACACCACCCAATACAACCCGAGGGATTCCCTCAGCGGAATCCATGCAGTGACACTTACCCTATTTCTCCTAGATCATCTAGAGGAGTTTATAGCAGAACATCTCCCTGAAGCATCCAATCAGAGTCTCCTCACTGTTGCCCATGTAAGTTGTTCTTTTTTTGTCTGAAAGGGGAATTTCATTTTCCTAGGTTTCTTTCAATTTCACTTGAATAAAGATAGGAAAATCTTACTGCCATGTACATTACAGATGACTTACAGAATTTCTTGGTGGGAAAATGTAAAATGAGAATTCATTACTAACTAAGAACTGATTGAAGATGGCATTCATAGATGACAGCTTCAGTTACAAACTATGTCAGCAAGCATTGTCCTCAGGAGAAAAACCTTTTTGAGAATTATGAATTTGCAACCAAAATAAATTTTAAATAATCTTGCACAAAAACCTGGTGCCTTTCTACAAGTGTTCTCTAGGCTTTATTTTTGTGGCCATTGCCTCCACCAGAATTTCCCATCTGGTTTTCTAATAGCACCAAGTTTAGAAAAGACCTGTGCACAGAGACAGCATGATCTTACCCTCATGGTGTTTTTCTTTCTCTAAACGCAGGCAGACACAGGCATCCAAACCAACGGTACGTATTCTGGGATCACCTTTTTGCTAAGGAAAAATCTTAGTGTTGAGAAAGGTGACACGTTCTTGCCTGCGTTTTCTGGAGAACCACTCTCATTGGAGCTTCCTATTGGAAAATGGGGTTTGGGAAGAAATTTCTAAGAGTGTACTGACGAGTGGTGACCATCCTACGTAGTCTCTGTTAGCTGCCGTGTCATTCTATGAAATCGAATGAGGTGCATCAAGGTGGGGGGCGGGTATAAGAAGAGAGTCTATGTATAGTGATTATGAATGTCTTTGGGAGGATGTGTATATTTCTCCAGATAGCATGCTTCCATGTGCACAGCTCAACACAAAGATGAGTGTTGTAAATAAAAATTCCATTACCACTGCACACCTTAACGTCACTCTGCCCATTTATCCTCCACCACAGCTGTAGCTGAAGGCCAGTTTAATATCCCCAGTACGCAGCTGGAGATAGTGCAGAGATGAATTTGCCAAGTGCTTTATCTCCTCAGTGCAAGAGGTAGAGGTGAACTCAGGAGTGGGTGGAAGGTTGATGCCATGGGCTACTACTCTGAAGTAATCACATGGTTCAGGTATAATTTGTTGTTATGCCGGAGAGTTTTAGCACCTATGTGTGCATATGGAAGTTGGATGGCCTTCAGAAATCCCAAGCACTGTCTCTCATGTAGGATTGTCTCAATGGTCACATAACTCCGTGTAGGAATAAGTACATTTTACAGTGGACTTTGGTGTGGTGACAGATGGGAAACAGACAATGCGAGGTCAGGCTTTTGGCTGCAGTGCTGCGTTATTTTCTCATCTCCTGATCCAAAGCAGAAAATAATCAGGCGTGTTATGTTGTATTTAACGGCATAAACTCCACAAGCCTTACATATGCTGCAGTTCAGCACACACCCCCGAGACACAGCACCAAATAAGAACCGAAGGAAAAACTTGGGTGTTATCCTGGTGCTCATCTTCTCTGCTGGACTCTTCTACACAGCTGGGTTGGAGAGGTTCAGCACCCCCACCTGCTGCCCCCGTGATGGGCTGTCCTAGTGCTGGAGCCAGTGTGAGCATGAGCAGCAGCAGGTCCCGTGGCACACGCACACTGTGTTAAAAGGAAGGGCAGAAGGACAAACATCACGGGCCAAGTAGCAGTCATCTTTAAATGGTAGGATAATTGAGTATTTTCAAATCTTGGTTTAGTCTTCTTTAAAACAAAAAGTTAGTGAATACATAGAATATTTTGATAGAATTAATCTCCTCATTGAAGAAAGGTTGCTTTGTTTCTAGTACAGAATATTCTGGTCAGGCATGGTGGCTCACACCTGTAATTCCAGCAGTTTGGGGGGCCAAGACGGGTGGATCACCTGAGGCCAGGCGTTCGAAACCAGGCTGACCAACATGGAGAAAACCCATCTCTCCTAAAAATACAGAATTAACCGGGCATGGTGATGCATGCCTATAATCCCAGCTACTCAGGAGGCTGAGGCTGGAGAATCACTTGAACCTGGGAGGCAGAGGTGGTGGTGGGTTGAGATTGCACAATTATACTCCAGCTGGGGCAAGAAGAGAGTAACTCCATCTCAAAAATAATAATAATAATAATTCTAGGAGGGACAAAATACACAGCAGCAGGACATGTGGATCCTGGGGAGGAAATGACCTCTAGGGGATCAAGAAGGGAGGGCAAGTTAGCTCAGGTCAGATTAGGAAGGAGAAGCTGTCGATGCTCCAGGGAAACACTGTGTGGTGTGCCCTGTTTGAGATGGGTTACTTCATCTCAAAGAGGTTGCCTTAGCTAGAGGACCAAGGCTCTGTCTTCTGAGACCTTCCTGGTGCCTTCCTTCACCATTTGCCTTCCCTCTCCACCATGGAGGATGGACCGGCAGCAGCTGAGTCTGTGCTGTGAACACACCTTTCCACACACGCCAGCCCCGTGTCCACAGCTCCAAGACCACCTGAGGGATTCACTCAGTGGAGCTCATGTGCTTATAGCGACTCTGTTTCCTAGGTGACCTGGAAGACCTGGAGGAGCATGGGCCAGGGCAGACAGTCTCTGAGGAAGCCACAGAAGTTCACATGGTAAAGTCGTCTTCTTTCCTCTGAAAAGGAAATTTTATTTCTCTCGGTTTCTCTGTTTCAATTGAATTAAGATGTATACATCTCACCATGTACACTATAGGTGACTGACAGAATTTCTTGGTGGGCAAATGTCAGCGTTCATTATCAACTAAAGAGTGGTTTCAGATGGCATCCACATTTACAAACTGTGTGTCAGCAGGCATTTACCTTAAGAGAAATGTCTTCTTGAGAAAAATTTGGAATTGTCAAACAAAAACAATTGAAAATCTTGCACAAAAATCTTGTGCCTTTCCACGAATGTCTTCTAGATATCGGGGCCATTGTCTCAAGTACTATTTACCATCTGTTTTTTTAACATAAACAAGTGAAGAGAAGACCTGTGCACACAGGACACAGCCTGGTCTGAACCTCATAGTGTTTTGTTTTTCTCTAGATGGAGGGGGACCCAGACACACTGGCCGAACGTACGTATTCTGGGATCATCTCTTTGTTTAGGTTCAAAATATTAGAGTTGCAAAGATGGCACTGTTTTGCCTGCCTTTGTTCAAGAGCCACTCTGGTTTGAGCTGTCTGCCAGAAATGAGATTTGGGAAGTTTGGTTTAAAAGAATGCTAAGATCCAGTAAACCACTCTAACCATGCTACTGTCATCCCTGGAAGCAGCAGTGTCATCTAAGGTGGGGTGGTACATCAGGGATGGGAGGGACAGAGGAGAGAGTCTGTATGGAATGATTGTGGATGTCTTTGGGAGTGTGTGTGCATTTCCCCAGAAAACACACTCCCATCTGCAAAGCACAACATGAGGATCAATGTTCAAGAAAAATTCCATCACCACTGCACAGTTTGCATAAATCAACCCATTCATCCTCCACCACAGCTGTACCTGAAGATAAGTTTAATATCCGCAGTCCTCAGATGGACATGCTGCAGAGTTGAATTTCCCAAGCTCTTGGTCTTTTAAATGGAAGAGGCACATGTGAACTCAGGGATGAGTGGAAGGTTAATGCCATGAGCTAGTACACTGAATTTGTCACAAAGCCCTGGTATAATTTCTTGCTAGGCCAAGTTATTCCAGCACTTCTGTGTGCATGTGGGAGAATGAAAACCTATTCAGATCCCAAACACTATCATTATCAGATGGTGTCAATGGTCATCTAACCCAGGGTTTGTTTGAGTAGGTACATTGCACAGTGGGCTTTAGTGTGATCATTAATGTAAAACACACAGAGTCCTCAGGCTTTTGGTCTACAGCGTTGAGGTCATTCCTCAGCTCCTGTTCAAAAGCAGACGATAATCAGTGCCATACTCTATTGTATTTGATGAGATAATCACGGCAAGTCTTAGAAGTTCAGTGGAACCCAATCCCAAGACATAGAATCCAATAAAAAAAAGTCAAGGCTCAACTTGGGTGTTAGCCGGGCACCCATTTTCCCTGCTGGAATCTCCTGCACAGCTGGATTGGAGAGGGTCAGTGCCCACCCCCCGCACCCCCTCGCTGCTCCCCATGACAGGCTGCTCCAGTGCTGGAGTCAGTGTGAGCATGGGGAGCAGTGAACATCATGCTACACACAAATTCTGTTGAAAAGGGAAAGTGGAAGAACAAATACCACATGCTAAGTAGGGGTCATCTTTAAATGGTAGGAAAATTATTTTCAAATCTTGGTTTATTTGCCTTGTACCAGAAAGTTAGTAATAAAATCTTTTGGCTAGAATTAAATCTCCTATTTTAAGAAAGGTTGCTTCTTATTCCGTACAAAATCTTCTAGAAGGGATGATAAACAGATCAGCAGCACATGTGGATTCTGAGGAGGAAATGACTTTGGCAGGGATCAATAAGAGGGCAAGTTAGCTCAGGTCAGATTAGGAAGGAGGAGCCCTCAGAGACTGCCAGGGACACACAGCCTGCACTGCGTGGTGTGCACTGTTTGAGATTGGCTATTTTATGTTTATGAGGTGGCCTGGAGCTAGGAAGCCAAAGGCCCTGATTCCCTTTCTTCCTGCATCTCTCCTGTGCCTGCTACCCTCCTCCCAAACCCACCTCAAGCAGTGTTACTGAATTGTTCATGAGCACCACCACCAAGGTGCTGATGGTCACTTTGTATCCTCCTAGTTCTGATCAGGGATGTACTTCAGGAGCTGTCCAGTTACAACGGCGAGGAGGAGGACCCAGAGGAGGTGAAGGTCAGGCCAACTGGATTTGTCTGAGAAAAAACTGTTGCTTTCTTAGCTTTATCTTATTTGGATTAAATTAAGATATGAGACTCTGACGATATATATCTTAGTTACACAGTGTCCTTGGGGGAAATGGTAAGTGAGAGTCTGTCCCCACTGAGGCTTGATTTAAGACAGTGGGAGAAAATGACAGCATCAGTCACCCGTTGTGTAACAGTGAGCCTTACCAATTTTGTTCTCTTTGGAGCAAAATCAGCTACTTGCCAGCCAACATGGACTTCAGAGGAAACATCCTCTGAGAAAAATGTGTGTCTTTAGTATGAGTTGATTTGTTCGCTTCTTTGGGGTTCCTTTGAACACTGGGTTTTCCATCTTGTTTTCTAATGTCACTAAGTGAAGAAAAGTCCTGTGCTCACAGGACACAGCATGGTCTGATGCTCATAGCAATTTATTTTCTGTCGTTACAGACATCCTTGGGAGTTCCACAACGTGGTACGTATTGGGGAACCCCTCTCATACTGATGAGTAATCCAGATGTTGAGGAATGTGGCCCTGTCTCACTGGCTTTCCTGTAGACAGACAGCCTGAGCTGAGCTTCATGTTGTGAATGAGGACCTAGACTGTGATGGGAGAAATGGTTTTCTAGATAAGAAACAGTGGCCACATTCTGCAGTCCCCGGGAGCAGCTGTGTTCTCTGAAGGTGGGGTGGGATCCCGTGCAAGGGGCCTGCTCATGTCTTTTGTGAATTCATGTGGTGCCGTGGTCAGTGAGTCTGGGGGCGTGTGTGTGGGTTTCCGTACTACATATCCCCGGATTTTCTAGTGTCCACATTCTCAACAGAGATTTCCATCACCGTTGCAGTCCTGTTGCAGGCACATGAAAAAATTAACTTGTAAGCTTCCAAAGTGTACAGTTTATTTCACGCACAGGACACTTTAATTAACCTAAAAGAAATCCTCTCCACACCCAGGCAAATTCTTACTGCACACCCATAGAACAGGACTGTGTCAGGATCTCTGCTGATTTTATTTTTTCATTCAGAATTCCCTGCTATACTTTATTTTCTAATAAACCTCACCTCTTCACAGGCCTTTCTATTTCCTCTTGCCACTAGAATGGCATGACACCTCACTCTAGCCCCTTCCCTCCTTTACAAGCCTTTTCTACCAAAGCCCTCAGAACTGACCCTCCACCACCCATCTTGAGCAAGGAGAGTGGGGCAGGGCTTCTTCCTGTGCATTTAGACCCTGGAGCAGCCTCATGCTACAGCGAGTTCTGCTGGGAAACTGAGAAGAGAGGAGCCTGCAGGCGGGGTTAGGGGGAAATCACCCCAACTTTCTCCATAGAGGTCTCATATTGACCATAAGATAATGGGGCCCAGAATGGATAATTCCAGGGTCATGTAGAGTTTCAGCCTTGTATCCCTCAGCCTAGTCATGGTTTCTGTGTGCTCGGCTCAGAAACTACAACATGAAAAGAAAACCAAGGGGTTTGCCCTAGGGTCTGAGAGGCAGGGTGAGCACTTGCCTTCCTAGCATGATGGAGGGTGGCTCATGCAGTGCTGTGTTATTTTCTCATGTCCTGATCAAAAGCACAAAATAATCAGGTGTGTTATATTGTATTTAATGGCATAATCTCCACAAGCCTTACATATGCTGCAGTTCAGCACATACCCCCAAGACACAGCACCAAATAAGAACCGAAGGAAAAACTTGGATGTTACCCTGGTCCTCATCTTCTCTGCTGGACTCCTACACAGCTGGGTTGGAGAGGTTCAGCACCCCCACCTGCTGCCCCCATGATGGGCTGTCCTAGTGCTGGAGCCAGTGTGAGCATGAGCAGCAGCAGGTCCCATGGCACACACACACTGTGTTAAAAGGAAGAGCAGAAGCACAAACACCATGGGCCAAGTAGCGGTCATCTTTAAATGGTAGGATAATTGAGTATTTTCAAATCTTGGCTTAGTCTTCTTTAAAACAAAAGGTTAGTGAATACGTAGGATATTTTAGTTAGAATTAAGTCTCCTCTTTGAGGAAGGGTTGCTTTTTATCTAGTACAAAAGTTGTGACATGGTGACTGACGCCTGTAACCCCAGCACTTTGGGAGGCCAAGGCGCGCAGATTACCTGAGGTTGAGAGTTCGAGACCAGACTGACCAACATGGAGAAAACCCGTTTCTCCTAAAAATACAGAATTAGCCAAGCATGGAGATGCATGCCTGTAATCCTAGCTACTCAGGAGGCTGACACTGGAGAATCACTTGAACCCAGGTGGCACAGGTTGTGGTGGGTCGAGATGGCACCATTATACTCCAGCCTGGGCAAGAAAAGAGAAACTCCATCTCAAAAAAAAAAAAAAAAGCAAGTTCTGGGAGGGACAAAAAACACAGCAGCAGGACAGGTGGATCCTGGGAGGAAATGACCTCGAGGGGATAAAGAAGGGAGGACAAGTTAGCTGAGGTCAGATTAGGAAGGAGGAGCCCTGGAGGCTGCAGTGAAACACTGTGTGGTGTGCCCTGTTTGAGATGGGCTCTTTCATGTCGAAGAGGTTGGCGTAGCTAGAGGACCAAGGCTCTGTCTTCTGAGACCTTCCTGGTGCCTTCCTTCACCATTTGCCTTCCCTCTCCACCATGGAGGATGGACCGGCAGCAGCTGAGTCTGTGCTGTGAACACACCTTTCCACACACGCCAGCCCCGTGTCCACAGCTCCAAGACCACCTGAGGGATTCACTCAGTGGAGCTCATGTGCTTATAGCGACTCTGTTTCCTAGGTGACCTGGAAGACCTGGAGGAGCATGTGCCAGGGCAGACAGTCTCTGAGGAAGCCACAGGGGTTCACATGGTAAAGTCGTCTTCTTTCCTCTGAAAAGGAAATTTTATTTCTCTCGGTTTCTCTGTTTCAATTGAATTAAGATGTATACATCTCACCATGTACACTATAGGTGATTGACAGAATTTCTTGGTGGGCAAATGCCAGAGTTCATTATCAACTAAAAAATGGTTTCAGATGGCATCCACACTTAGAAACTGTGTGTCAGAGGCATTTTCCTTAAGAGAAATGCCTTCTTCTTGAGAAAAATTTGGAATTGTCAAACAGAAACAATTGAAAATGTTGCACAGAAATCCTGTGCCTTTCCAGGAATGTCTTCTAGATACCGGGGCCATTGTCTCAACCACTGTTTACCATCTGGCTTTTTAATGTCAACAAGTGAAGACCTGTGCACACAGGAGACAGCATGGTCTGACCCTCATGGTGTTTTCTTTTTCTCTAGATGCAGGTGGACCCAGCCACGCCGGCAAAGAGTACGTATTCTGGGATCATCTCTTTGTTTAGGTTTGAAATCTTAGTGTTGTAAAGGTGGCGCTGCTTCACCTGCTTTTGCTCAAGGGCCACTCTGGTTTGAGCTTTCTGCCAGAAATGAGATTTGGGAAGTTCAGTTTAAAAACTACTAAGAGTCACACCGGGCACAGTGGCTCACGCCTGTAATCCCAGCACCTTGAGAGGTGGAGACGGGCGGATCAGCAGAAGTCAGGAGTTTGAGACCAGCCTGACTGACATTGAGAAACCCCATCGCTCCTAAAAATACAAAATTACCTGGGTGTGTTGTCACATGCCTGTAATCCCAGCTACTCAGGAGGCTGAGGCAGGAGAATCACTGGAACCCAGGTGGTAGAGGTTGCAGTGAGCCAAGGTTGTGCCATTGCACTTCAGCCTGGGCAACGAGTGAAACTCTGTCTCAAAAAAAAAAAAAAAAAAAAACCCAACAAACTGGGAGTCCAGTACTCTAACCATGCTACTGTCATCCCTGGAAGCAGCAGTGTCATCTAAGGTGGGGTGGTACATCAGAGTTGGGAGGGACAGAGGAGAGAGTCTATATGGAATGATTGTGGATGTCTTTGCGAGTGTGTGTGCATTTCCCCAGAAAACATACTCCCATGTTCAAAGCACAACACAAGGATCAATGTCCAAGAAAAATTCCATCACCACTGCACAGTTTCCATAAATCAATCCATTCATCCTCCACCACAGCTGTACCTGAAGATAAGTTTAATATCCACAGTCCTCAGATGGACATGCTGCAGAGTTGAATTTCCCAAGCTCTTGGTCTTTTAAGTGGAAGAGGCACATGTGAACTCGGGGATGAGTGGAAGGTTAACGGCATGAGCTACTACACTGAATTTGTCACAAAGCCCTTGTATAGTTTCTTCCTAGGCCAACTGATCCCAGCACTTCTGTGTGCATGTGGGAGAATGAAAACCTATTCAGATCCCACAGACTATCGTTATTGGGTGGTCTCAATGGTCAGCTAACCCAGGGTTTGAGTAGGTACATTGCACAGTGGGCTTTAGTGTGACCATTAATGTAAAACACACAGAGTCCTCAGGCTTTTGGACTACAGTGTTGAGGTCATTCCTCAGCTCCTGTTCAAAAGCAGACAATAATCAGTGCCATACTCTATTGTATTTAAGGAGATAATCACCGCAAGTCTTAGAAGTTCAGTGGAACCCAATCCCAAGACATAGCATCCAATAAAAAAATCTCAAGGCTCAACTTGGGTGTTAGCCGGGCACCCATTTTCCCTGCTGGAATCTCCTGCACAGCTGGGTTGGAGAGGGTCAGTGCCCGCCCCCCGCACCCCCTCGCTGCTCCCCATGACAGGCTGTCCCAGTGCTGGAGTCAGTGTGAGCATGAGGAGCAGTGAACATCATGGTGCACACAAATTCTGTTGAAAAGGGAGAGTGGAAGAACAAATACCACATGCTAAGTAGGGGTCATCTTTAAATGGTAGGATAATTATTTTCAAATCTTGGTTTATTTGCCTTGTAACAGAAAGTCAGTAATAAAATCTTTTGGCTAGAATTAAATCTCCTATTTTAAGAATGGTTGCTTCTTATTCCATACAAAATCCTCTAAAAGGGATGATAAACACATCAGCATCCTCCTCAGTGGATTGTGAGGAGGAAATGACTTTGGCAGGGATCAATAAGAGGGCAAGTTAGCTCAGGTCATATTAGGAAGGAGGAGTCCTGGATGCTGCAGTGAAACACTGTGTGGTGTGCTCTGTTTGAGATGGGCTCTTTCATGTCGAAGAGGTTGGCGTAGCTAGAGGACCAAGGCTCTGTCTTCTGAGGCCTTCCTGGTGCCTTCCTTCACCATTTGCCTTCCCTCTCCACCACGGAGGATGGACCGGCAGCAGCTGAGTCTGTGCTGTGAACACACCTTTCCACACATGCCAGCCCCGTGTCCACAGCTCCAAGACCACCTGAGGGATTCACTCAGTGGAGCTCATGTGCTTATAGCGACTCTGTTTCCTAGGTGACCTGGAAGACCTGGAGGAGCATGTGCCAGGGCAGACAGTCTCTGAGGAAGCCACAGGGGTTCACATGGTAAAGTCGTCTTCTTTCCTCTGAAAAGGAAATTTTATTTCTCTCGGTTTCTCTGTTTCAATTGAATTAAGATGTATACACCTCACCATATACACTATAGGTGACTGACAGAATTTCTTGGTGGGCAAATGCCAGAGTTCATTATCAACTAAACAGTGGTTTCAGATGGCATCCACACTTACAAACTGTGTGTCAACAGGCATTTTCCTTAAGAGAAATGCCTTCTTCTTGAGAAGAATTTGGAATTGTCAAAGAAAAACAATTGAAAATGTTGCACAGAAATCCTGTGCCTTTCCAGGAATGTCTTCTAGATACCGGGGCCATTGTCTCAACCACTGTTTACCATCTGGCTTTTTAACGTCAACAAGTGAAGACCTGTGCACACAGGAGACAGCATGGTCTGACCCTCATAGTGTTTTCTTTTTCTCTAGATGCAGGTGGACCCAGCCACACTGGCAAAGCGTACGTATTCTGGGATCATCTCTTTGTTTAGGTGTGAAATCTTAGTGTTGTAAAGGTAGTGCTGCTTCACCTGCTTTTGCTCAAGGGCCACTCTGGTTTGAGCTTTCTGCCAGAAATGAGATTTGGGAATTTTGGTTTAAAAACTACTAAGAGTCACACCGGGCACAGTGGCTCACGCCTGTAATCCCAGCACCTTGAGAGGCGGAGACGGGCGGATCAGCAGAGGTCAGGAGTTTGAGACCAGCCTGACTGACATTGAGAAACCCCACCGCTCCTAAAAATACAAAATTACCTGGGTGTGGTGTCACATGCCTGCAATCCCAGCTACTCAGGAGGCCAAGGCAGGAGAATCACTTGAACCGAGGTGGTAGAGGTTGAGGTGAGCCAAGGTTGTGCCATTGCACTCCAGCCTGGGCAACGAGCGAAACTCCGTCTCAAAAAAAAAAAAAAAAAAACAAAAAACAAAAAAACACCCCAACAAACTAAGAGTCCAGTACTCTAACCATGCTACTGTCATCCCTGGAAGCAGCAGTGTCATGTAAGGTGGGGTAGTACATCAGAGTTGGGAGGGACAGAGGAGAGAGTCTATATGGAATGATTGTGGATGTCTTTGTGAGTGTGTGTGCATTTCCCCAGAAAACATACTCCCATGTTCAAAGCACAACACAAGGATCAATGTCCAAGAAAAATTCCATCACCACTGCACAGTTTGCATAAATCAACCCATTCATCGTCCACCACAGCTGTACCTGAAGATAAGTTTAATATACCCAGTCCTCAGATGGACATGCTGCAGAGTTGAATTTCCCAAGCTCTTGGTCTTTTAAGTGCAAGAGGCACATGTGAACTCGGGGATGAGTGGAAGGTTAATGCCATGAGCTAGTACACTGAATTTGTCACAAAGCCCTGGTATAATTTCTTGCTAGGCCAAGTTATTCCAGCAATTCTGTGTGCATGTGGGAGAATGAAAAGCTATTCAGATCCCAAACACTATCGTTATCAGATGGTCTCAATGGTCAGCTAACCCAGGGTTTGTTTGAGTAGGTACATTGCACAGTGGGCTTTAGTGTGATCATTAATGTAAAACACACACAGTCCTCAGGCTTTTGGTCTAGAATGGTGAAATCATTCCTCAGCTCCTTTTCAAAAGCAGACAATAATCAGTGGCATATTCTATTGTATTTAATGAAATAATCATCAGGCAGGATACCTGCCCCACACTAGTTGCAGAGGAGGTGAGAACGGACCCTGCTTCAGTGCAAGGTGAACTCAGCAAAGGGAGAGGGGCTGCTCCAGAGTCCAGGTGGTCCTTGCAACTCTCCTGTGTGATGTATAAGACATCACTTTGCCTTTTTCTCTGAGATAGTCTTGGAATTGTTAGTCCTAAACTCTGTTTTGCTTTACTTATGTGTAGATGAATCCTGGCCATGGCTGGTCACGGAGGGGAAGGACTATGTCCTCCTCGTTCCTTCTCATCCCAGAGCTTAGCCCTGGGCAGCCCATCTTGGGCCCCAGTAATGTTCCAATGCTTCCAAACCCTTTGCTGAGATCCAGCACCAGTGTGAAAAGGCTTCCTGCTCATCTCCTTCAATCTGTTGTTTCTCATAGTAATTTAGAAACCTTAGTGGATTCTGATCCAAGGTCACAGGAGAATAGGGTGGGCTCCTGAAGTCAATGAAGTGTCCCCCTCATCTCTACCCTGGCTACTTTGGTTCAGCTTTTCTCCTTGCAGAAGAGGCTGTTTTTCTGTTTACGAGTCCTCCTTTGCTGGACCAGGCTTTTTTATTTTTGTTGTGGCATCCCTGCACTTCACAGGGGGCCTGGAGCTTGTTCCTGTGCCCCTGAAGTACCCATCCATGAATGATCAGATCAGAGCAGCAAACCACTCTGCCAGGAATCACCAGGGGGGAGAGTCACATCTTCCTCATCTTTGGGTTTAGACCTGTGCATTCCAGTATGGTTCTCAGTGGCATATGTGCCCATTCATGTTAAAATAAATGAAAAAATTCATAACCTCCTCACAAGAGCCATGCTAGAAGTTCCCAGTTGCCAAAAGTCTACTCTTAAGAGAGCATCTCCATTCTCCCAGAATCACCTGGGAAGCAGCTGCTGTGAGTCTGGCCCAGGTTCTGTTCTCTGCACCCACCTAACTCAGTGCATTTGCATCAAGGCTGGAATCTCAGGTTCTCAGATTGGAGGTAAGAGATGCTATGAGCCAGTGTCGGTGAACAGTTGAAAGGGATTATTTCAGGTCCTCTGTCTTACCTGAAGGCTCACAACTGTGAGCAGTGCCTTCATAAAGGCCCCTGAGTTCACAGAGCCCAGGGAGAATCACAGTGGACAGAGCAGTAGTACTAATGTTTGTGTCTCTGTACATGGGCTCATGGGCACCACCTCTGGATCCATCCAGGAGGAAATAGACTGGTCAGGTAGGGACCAACACTCCAGGGTTGACCAGTGAGACAGGGTTCTTGGGAATTGGGTTACACTTATTTTGGAGCCTAGGATGGGATCAGTGAAGTGACTAAATATGAAACAGGTGTAGAAGTCTGACTTGGGATTTTTTGTATCTTAATGAGAAAGTCCTAAGAGTTTTTTTCTCATGGGCTTTGTGCGAGTTGTGTATGTCACCATCATTTCTTGCTCTGGTGTTTAAATATTACATTTTGCAGAAGACCAGATCATTCCTGCCTTTGCCACAGTAAGCACCAGAGCCCTGGGTTTTGATGAGGTAGCATTTTTTTGTGAATAGAGATCACAAGATGAGTATGCAGGTGTAAAGTTGAGTGTGGGGTGGGACACAGCCCCACATAGGCGCTACGTGATCCTGAAGACAAAGTCCTTCATACGTGTGCCAGGAGGTGAAAGGAGCCCACTGTCTTTCTCTACACTCTTGGGACCTGCAACAGCACCTTCCTGTCCTGTCCTCACTGTCTGCTCCTGCTCTAAGGGTGCTCCCTGGGTCGGATGACACAGGGAATCCTTCCTCTGGGATTCCTACGTGTGCCCCAGCATCCTGGAGTCCTGAGGGCAGAACACATGATTGAGCACAGTTTTGGCCTCCACTCCTCACCCAATCCCATCCAATCCCAAATCCCTGTGCTTTGAATGAAACCTAAATTGGCTTTCACTGGAGAGGCCCAAGTCCAGCTGTTGCTCAGGGCCCTCTGTGGCTGGCAGGAATCCTAAGGGATATGTGTGGAGGGGCTGCTGTGTTGCTGTAGGCAGTGGCTCTCACCCTCCCTGTAGCCTGGTCCCTGGAATCCACTGGGCCCAGGGCAGAGCCTCTGGGCAGCTGGCACAGTGGTCACTTGTCTTGTCACACCCTCCTCTCTGGCTCAGCAGCCTTGTCCTTCTCCCCACACTCCAGTCAGGCCCAGCTTGTTCTCTGTGTCAGGTCTTCCAGGTACCTTCCCTCCTAGTCTTCCCACAGCTCAGGCAAACCCTGGGAGGGTCCCCTCATTTCTGTGCTGGCAACTGCTGGCGTCACCTGCAGATTAAGGCAACTGGGACAAGGAGCTTTACCTTGAATTCTGTTCCATTGTTTCCAAATATTCAGAAGCTGCTGGGATTCTTTTGAGGGCTGAATATTTTCCAAGTCTCTAAGGTCACTCCAGGCATAGAACAGTCACTGTATAAGTGACATCGGCCATCATCACCTCCCGCAGGCCCCAACACAACCCCAGGCCTGTGGGAGGTGCTGCTGACCCAGGGTGCGATCCGTGGGTTGATTGGAGGCCCTGGCAGTGCAGCCTTGACCTTCTTTCCAGTGTTCTTATTTTGGAGAACAGTAGGACTGGTGGAGGTCCACAGGGTGAAAGGAAATGGGATTCATGCGGGAACAGAAACAGGCCCTACAGGAGGAGAAGGGAGGGAACTCCATGTCACGCACAACGTTGTGAAGAGGGCGCTGCCTCTTGGAGGAACAGAATGACACGGCTTCCCCTCCCTTGGCTCAGTTATGGAATGTGAGGGCTGGGAAAGTACGTGGGAAGTCAGAGGTCCCTCCCTCATAGCACAGAGGAAATGATACAGGCTGTGGAGAAGGCTCCAGAAATGAGCACATCAGAGGCTCTGGGGTTGGCTCCACAGCCCCAGGACAGCGGGGTCTGAGTGGTTCTCTCGACTCTAACTCTCCCCTTTCCTTCTTATGGCCACCCCATCACCGCTGCTCCTCCGGACACTCTGATGCTTGCTTCACAGAATTGGAAGACTCCACCATTACAGGCAGCCACCAGCAGGTAATTGATCTCCTCTTATATGCTGGCTGTCTTTTATCCTCTTTCTGACTCATGAGCTCCTTTTTTAGCTCTAGTCCTTTTCCTCTTTCCCTCTCTTGTGATTGTTCTCCTGAAGGACCTGGTCTCATCCCACAGTTGAGGTCCTCGGGTCTTCAGTGTCGATAAAATCCCTCTCCAGCCCTCCTGCCCACTGCCTTGGCATTGCCCTGTTTACTGGCCCCCAGGTTGCAGCTTTGAATCTTGCTGAACAACCCTACAGGGTCCAGGGGAGGGGGCTGGGCTGGGGTCAGAAGAGCTGGACCCCACCCTGCTGGAGGGACCCCCCAGTGACATCTGGGTCTGCTCTGGGCACCGCCTTCACAGATAGGTCTTTTCCTGCACTGGCGTCTCTGGACATGCACAATTGTTCTCTTCCTCACAGATGTCAGCAAGTCCTTCCTCTGCACCTGCAGAAGAAGCAACAGAAAAGACCAAAGTGGAAGAGGAAGTGTGAGTGTGCAGTGGGCAGAATGATGAGGGAAGTGGGCACGTGCCCATGTTCTTCTTGGCTACGCTCACTTTCTTGTTGTCCCATCAGGAAAACCAGAAAGCCCAAGAAGAAAACCAGGAAGCCCAGCAAGAAAAGCCGGTGGAATGTCCTGAAATGTTGGGACATTTTTAATATATTTTAGAGACCTCTGAAGGTAAGTGAAGGATGCCCTGAGAACATGCTCCAGGAAACAGACACCCACTCCATAGCAGCCCCTGAGCCTGCTGGGCTGAGCCCTCCACAGGCTGCTTAGTGAGGGAGACACTGAGGTGCTGGTCGCACCCCCATGTGCAGGACTCCAAGGGCTTTGCACTGTGTTGTCTGCAGTAACTCTTCAGCTCACCAACATCTCATTTGGGGGGACCTAGCTCTGTCTTCCCAGCCCCTTGAGGACAACAGGGAGCATCACTAGTTCATCCTGAGGAGACACTAGGGTTGACATGAATCCCCCTGGTTCAGGCCTCCTGGGAAAGGTGTGAGAGGGATGGAGGCACCCCCAGGCTCCTTGTCACACAAGCGAGCAGCCCACCCGACCCAGTATTGCAGGCCAGCAGGCCCTCAGTAGGTCCTGGTGTCAAGCAGGGGACACGGCAGGATCCAAGAAGCACTGAAATGTGTCCAGTCCCAGGAGTCCTTCAGCCTCTGGGGGGTCTGGGGGCCTCCAGTTCCAGGGGTCCTTCAGCCTCTGTGGGGGCCTGGGGTGGCCTCATGGCCCCATTTTTCAAGATGAGGTTGGAGGCTTCTGTATGTAGAGGGCACTGGCTTGGGCCAAATGCCAACAAAACAAACCCTTGAAGACATTTCAGGGCCATGCTCACTTGGGAGGGTTTGAGGACATGATTTAGCGAGCCTCTGTTTTTTAAATATATTTTCCAATCTTGAAATAAGGTACACATATGAATGTGTGTGTGTGTGTGTACATATACACTGTTTTTCACTCTTTCAAATGTATGTCTTCTGTAACCCTTTTATGCTAGAATATACAAACATGAGAAATTTGTGTCTTACCAAAGCATAATTTTAAAAATTACAAAGCAAAGACAGGTCCGGTTGGGATGCTAGAAAGACCAGGTCTTATTAGGCAATAACAATGACGTGCTCCAGGAAGCTATGCATATTCAACGTGCAGCTCTTCTCCAGGAAGCTATGCATGTTCAACGTGCAGCTCTTCTCCAGGAAGCTATGCATGTTCAACGTGCAGCTCTTCTCCAGGAAGCTATGCATATTCAACGTGCAGCTCTTCCGTCTGGATGGCACAGAGGATCTGGGTGGCAAGGCAGGGTCACCACCCCCACCCTGTGTCATGAGACCTCCTGCTCCTCTTAGGGCCCAGGGGCATGGGACTCTGCCTGTTGATCCTGGTATGCTTGAAATTCCATTTCTGTGTGTCTGTTTTACCCTCCGGGGAACCAGCCCCCTGAAGGTGCCCGTGTGAGCGCCCAGGTTCATTCTTCCTCCATGACACTCACACTCTCTGTGGACAGATAACTCCTCAGCAGAGAGCAGCACACAGGGCTCAGTGCCTTGACATCTGAGTAGACCTGACTGTGGGGAGCTCAGGGGCCCCAGGTCACCTTCCAGGGCCCAAGGAGGTCTCTGAGACCTGCACACCCATCCCAGGGAGCCCCTCCTCCCTCTACTTCTGTGCCTCTCTAGTGACCCTTGCACCTCTGTCTGTGTTGCAGATTCCTCGACCACCAGGAAGGGCCCCGACGTGGGGATGTCAACATGGCTCAGACTTGATGTGGATCGTGATCATTTCGGGAAATGTGTTACTCCAAAAACTTTTATAATCTTTGCTTAATTTGTTTTTAAATACTTTCCTGGCTGGGCGTGGTGGCTTATGCCTGTAATCCCAGCACTTTGGGAGGCCGAGGCGGGTGGATCACCTGAGGTCAGGAGTTAAAGACCAGCCTGGCCAACAAGGTGAAACCCCGTCTCTACTAAAAATACAAAAATTAGCTAGGCGTGGTGGCGCACTCTTGTAGTCCCAGCTATTTGGGAGGCTGAGGCAGGAGAATCACTTGACCTCAGGAGGCGGAGGTTGCAGTGAGCCGAGATCATGCCACTGCACCCCAGCACCTGGCTACAGAGTGAGACTTTGTCTCAAAAAAAAAAAAAAAAGAACAAAAAAATTCTGACTTTAACCTCTGTTTTTCAGAGGGCACAAATTGTTCTTGTATTGTTTCCATTTTACATTTTTTTCTTGAAGTTATTTTCCAATTGTTTTCATTCTTTCTGAAGTTTTGTTTACTCGGTTTTAAGTTTTTGTAATTTTGATAGACTTTTGTGCTTTCATTTTCTTAATGACTTTTACCTCATTTTTAAAACAAATCCATAGTATGGTAAGTTACATCAATATGGAGTATTTTTATGTTTTGTGGTGATTTACATTCTGTATGTATTTTACATATATAAATGTTAATGGCCTGGTGCAGGGGCTACCACCTGTAATCTCAGCAGTTTGGGAGACCAAAGCAGGACAATTGCTTGATCCCAGGAGTTTAAGACCAGCCGGGGCAACATAGTGAGACCTCATCCCTACAAAAAAAAAAAATCCTTTAATTAGCTGGGCATGGTAGCATCCATCTGTAGCCCCAGCTACTTGGGAGGCTGAGGCAGGAGGATTGGTTGAGCCTAGGAGGTTGAGGCTCCAGTAAGCCATGACTGCACCACTGCACTCCAGCCTGGGTGACAGAGCAAGACCCTGTCTTAAAAAAGAAAAGTTTATTAACGTGAATATCAGTTAGAAATCTAGTTGTTCATTGCAAAACTAAACCAGTTTATAGCAGAAATAAGCACTTGGAGGGAAATGTTACATTTTCACTGCAGGCCTTGAATCCTTAGCCACCAGCTCCGTGTCCTTCAGTGTTCTGTGGTTCCTGGTTCCAGAGAGATCACCTGCTCCAATGTAACGAGTGAAGAGTTCTTTAGGTGATGGCTGCTGGGCCCAGCTTTGCTGTTGTCTTTGCTGTCTTGTAAGCTTTGTGTCGCTCAAGTTCAGTTGTGTATGAGTGTACTAACCACTGTGAGCTTCTCCAAGCATGTGCAAGCAATTTGAGAGGAGCCTAATGTTTGCAAGGAATTTGAGAGGAGCCTTTTAAGGATGTTTTATTGGCGGGGGTCAGGTGAGGGAGATAACACGGGGGCAAGAAGGAAAGTTATTAATTCATGGGAAACTACCAGCCCTTCATCACCTAACTTGTGATTTACAGACACTGAGCACATTGCAGGTTGAGAAGGTGCTTGGTCCTTTTTGTAGCCTTATGCTGTGCTCTTCAGAGCCGTGAGTGTGCTGCTTTTTC
The DNA here is from genome assembly GCF_000001405.40 of Homo sapiens. NCBI lineage: Eukaryota > Metazoa > Chordata > Mammalia > Primates > Hominidae > Homo > Homo sapiens. The sequence continues at coordinate 176,117,213 of NC_000005.10, forward strand.
TCACCATTTTGTTTCTTGTAGATTGTTTTCCTTGATGCTGGAAAACATTTTGAAGACAAGACTCTAAACAGTGACCTATGCCACACTAGTTTATTGGAAAATGAGAAACTTACATTACTGACAAGCTTGGAAGATTCTTCAGTCCTGCAGTGACCTGTGTTTCCCTGGTCTTTACCTTACCAATCTGCTTGATTCTCCTTTCTTGTGGCAGTAGTTATGATGCCAACTTTTGGGGTTCTTTGTCCTCCTCTTTTCTTCCTACCTGCCAGCATTCAAATGGCCACTTCTATTAAGTGATGGAATTCAAGAATGTATTTATTTATTAATCCTGATATTGTTTCACTCATCCCTCAGTTTAACATTTAGGGTACAAAGTAGTCACCTAGAGGTGCCACTCAATATACAGCACTGTGTTTAGAAATTGAGGGAGCCATGAAATATTTAGCCTCTGCTCTCTGAGACCTCAGCCAGGTGCAAAGAAGAGATGCAGAACCACATTTCAGATTGTGTTGTGTACAACCAGCAGCACCAAAATGTGCCTGGGAATCATGGGGGTCAGAAATTTACCTCTGAGGCAGGTATGGCTGAAGCTTTACGAAAAGAGATGGGGCCCGTGCCAGGCCTTAGACGTGCGAGAAGGAGGGCGTGTCAGGAAGCAGAAACAGTATCAGCAAAGGCGCTGCTGGGAGGCATGTGGGCAGTGTTTGGGGAACGGCCAGGGGCTTTCTGTGTCAGGTTTACAGCATCTGTGGGAGGCTGCGTTGGTAAATAAGCCCAGAGAAGTAGGCTGGGGCTACTTACATTAAAAGTATGCATGGCTTGAAGGCCAGCTGAGTGGTATAAATAGAAACTACAAATAGTATCACATTTATTGAGGACAGCTTGTGCTGCCAAAAGAGTTTTTAAAATTTTTTTGGATTGTGTAATTGGTGGATAAAGAATTATTGACCTAAATGTATCTGATCTTAGAGTGTTTTAGTATGCTAGATTATTGGAGGTGAAATGGCTAAGTCAAAGGTGATGAGTGTTTTTGAGACTCTTAATGTTAATTGCAAAATTAACCTCTAAAAAGGTAGGCCGGGCGCACTGGCTCACGCCTGTAATCCCAGCACTTTGGGAGGCCGAGGCGGGCGGATCACGAGGTCAGGAGATTGAGACCATCCTGGCTAACACGGTGAAACCCCGTCTCTACTAAAAATACAAAAAGTTAGCCCGATGTGGTGGCAGGTGCCTGTGGTCCCAGCTACTCAGGAGGCTGAGGCAGGAGAATGGTGTGAACCCAGGAGGTGGAGCTTGCAGTGAGCCGAGATCACGCCACTGCACTCCAGCCTAGGTGACAGAGTGAGACTCCACCTCGGAAAAAAAAAAAAAAAGCCAGTGCCAACTTAGACCATGACTGAGAGCTCTTGGTTTATCTTATCCTTGCCGAGCTGGGTGTTACAACATTGAAGCCTTCTGCAGTGTCCTCCCTCCCTTTTTCTCTCTTTCTCTCTCTCTCCTCCCTTTCTTCCTTTTACTTCTCTTATGATAGGCTCGTCTGTACTTTTTTGATAGAGGTAACCATTTGCCACACCATTTTCTGAAGGGCCTGCTCTCTTCCCCATTCATTTGTGATGGCACATTTATCCTACCCTAAGCTTTGATAACGTGTCAGGATCTTTCTGTCCTGTCCTCTCAAAGAGGTTAAATATTTTTTTATAATGACTTATAATTGACTGAAGTTATAACAGTTTTCTCATGTCAAGTATAAAACAGGCCAGGCGAGGTGGCTCACACCTGTAATCCCAGCACTTTGGTAGGCCAAGGTGGGTGGAATGCTTGAGTCCAGGAGTTTAAGACCAGCCTGGACAACATGGGACAACCCCATTTCTACAAAAAAAAATACAAAAATTATCCAGGCGAGGTGGTGCACACGTGTAGTCCCAGTTACTCGGGAGGCTGAGGTGGGAGGATGGCTTGAACCTGGGAGGTGAAGATTGCAGTGAGCTGAGATCACACCACTGCATTCAGTCTGGATAATAGAACAAGACTCTATCTCAAAAAAAAATTGTATACTTTATTGACTCATTTATGTCTGATGGGTATTTTTGATTACAAATTGTTTAGTCACTACTTTAAAGCCTGCTTTATTTTTTTCTTAATTTTATTGACTCATTTATGTCTTAGTCTTTTTTATTACAAATTATTTATTGTTCAGTCACTACCTTAGAGCCTGTTTTATTTTTTCTTAATTTTATTGACTCATTTATATCTCAGCCCTTTTTATTACAAATTATTTATTGTTTAGTCACTGCCTTAGAGCCTGTTTTATTTTTTCTTAATTTTATTAAAGGATGATATTGATGATGAAATGTCTTACGATGATCATTTAGAGGTTTATTTTGAACAACTGGCAATTCCAGGAATGATGGAATAAAGCATACGAAGTAGAAGGACTGGAACCTCCAGAAAAAGTACTTTAAGTTACCTACAGGTGATCCTAGTCAGGTATGTTACAGTCTTAATGGCTTTTCAGAAATTTGACAGAAAATCACTATTGATCTCACTGGATGTTTACATGAATTTTAAGCCTTTGGTTTTCTTTTAACTCTGTTTTTTACAGGTATGAATTGATAAGAAATGCCTGCACCTTCCCTCCTTCCTATCTTTCCCTTGCCTACAGAAAATTAAAAGGCAAAACAATAGACATCTGCATATTCTTCATTCAGATCAACCAGTGGCTAGCATTTGCCACCTTTTGCAGTTTCTTTCTCTTTCCATAAGTACTTTCTTCTCTGAATCATTTGAAAGTAAGTTGCAAAGAGCATGGTGTTTTACCCCAACACTTCAGCATTTATCTCTTGTGAATAATGACATGTTCTATGTAATTACAGTTCTACCATCTAACTATAATACAGTAATTTGATGTACAGCCCATATTCAGATTTACCTAATTGTCTCCAAAATGTTCTTTATTTTTGTTTTAGATCCACAGTTTAATCAAAGATTAACCTTGCCTTTGGTTGTCACATCTCTCTATTCTTTTACTTTGGAGTAGTTCTTTCAATACATGAAACATTTTGAAAAATCTAGGCTCTTTGTTTTGTGGAGTGACCCATAATCTAGATATATCTGGTTGCTTTTTTCTTCTGACTAGAATAGATTGAGCATTTTGGCAAGAATACAGATTAAACAGTGTTCTCATGAATGGATCCAGATTAAACAGGGAATAATGCCTAATTCAGATTAGGCAGTGTTGCGTACTTACCACCTCACACCAGGAGATGTTTGCGTCTGTTTGTCCCACGATTGCTGATGCTATGTTTAATAATTTTGGTTGAGATAGTGTCAACTGGACATCTCCTTGTGAGGGTAGCTTTTCCCTTTTGTTATTAGTCATCTGTGGAATGAGACATCAAAGCACTGTGAACATCTTACTCCCCGGCAAACTTCACGAGCTGGTTTCAGCGTCATTGCTGAAGGCTCTTGGAAACATTGCTTACACCCGTGGTTCCAATGGTGATTTTTCTCATTCCTTTTACATTGATTACCTGCCTCCTTGAGTGAGGTAGATGTTGTCTGCTCCCCATGTTTTCCCTTCAAATGTTTAATTTTAATTTAAATGATTAATACAGCTAAGTTATTCTTTCAACAGGCAAATGAAAACAGTAGCCTAAAGTGTCAGTTTCAACCAGAAAATAACAGCTCTGATTTCTCATGGCTCATACTCGTCTGAAACGACTCAGGTAGAGGCTGAGGAAGGCCGTGTTGTTTGTCTACCTGGGACTAGTAAGTATAGAAATAGAATTCCTTTGTTCTTAAATTCTACCTTTGACTTTACTTTTAAAATATAATTTCTTTGGTACGATTTAGCTCATGCCTATAATCCTAGCATTTTGGGAGGCCAAAGAGGGAGAATTGCTTGAGCCCAGGAGTTTGAGACCAGACTCTACACACACACACACACACACACACACACACACACACACACACGCACACACGAAGCGGGAATGGTGGCATGCGACTGAGACCCCAGCTACCTGGGAGGCTGAGGTTGGAGGATCATTTGGACCCAGGAGGTGGAGGCTGCAGTGAACCATGATTGTGCCACTGTACTCCAGCCTGGGTGACAGAGCAAGACCCTGTCTCACAAAAGAAAAAGAAGAAGAGATCATCTATTAGTCTTCTTGATTTTTGTTAAAATGTGTTATGTGATAGTTGATAAGCTTTATGCATATGTCAATCTGTGGCCATTTAATTTTGGGCTAAGGACTTGTTCTATTATAGCACAGTAATCATTTTACTAAATAGTGACTATTTGTCATTAAAAACAATATATTTAGTTTTAATACAGTTGAATACTCACAAATTTCTGGGGGAACTTGGTCAGGACATTTCAACTGAGAATTGTCAGGCACCTTCTCACTGATAGGCATGCTGCTCGGTGGTGCAGCTCATAAGCAGACAACCCCCTTCACGTAATTTAGTAGGAAAATGACAGAAATACTTGTGTAACTATAAAGTAAAGCAGAATTCTGGTTATTGAATCACAGCACCTACTGAAAGAAGTTCTCAAGTTCTGATTGAGTTCTAAAATTTTTTGAAGATTGGAATTCTTCATATGTAAGTAAAAACAATTTCTGATGACCCATTTCTAGTCCATCTTCTAAAGAAGTATTTAATCTGGGCCAGGCACAGTGGCTCACGCCTGTAATCCCAGCACTTTGGGAGGCCGGGGTGGGTGGATCATGAGGTCAAGAGATCAAGACCATCCTGGCCAACATGGTGAAACCCCATCTCTACTAAAAACACGAAAATTAGCTGAGCATGGTGGCGCGTGCCTGTAGTCCCAGCTACTCGGGAGGCTGAGGCAGGAGAATCACTTGAACCTGGGAGGTGGGGGCTACAGTGAGCTGAAATTGCGCCACTGCACTCCAGCCTGGCAACAGAGCAAGACTCCATCTGAAAAAAAAAAAAAAAAAAAAAAGAAGTATTTAGTCTAAGCTGGGCATGATGGCTCACTCCTGTAATCCCAGCACTCTTAGAGGCCAAGGTATGAGGGTTACTATAAACCAGGAGTTTGACACCAGCCTAGGCAACAATAGCAAGACCCCATTTCTACAAAAAAAAATTTAAAAATTAGCTGTGCAGGAGGCTGAGTTGGGAGGATCACTTGAGCTTAGGAGTTAGAGGTTGTAGAAAGCTATGATCATACCACTGCACTCCAGGCTGGATGACAGTGGGCCCTGTCTCTAAAACACAAAAAAAAACTAACAAAAAAAGTGTTTAATCCATAAGATGACCACATTTATAGGAGGCTCCCGGCAATCTTAGCCTGAAGCCATGAAGGAAGACGCAGTGTGAAGGCAAGTGCAGGCTGGCCTCTGGCAGCTGAGGATCAGGACAGGATGTGGAGTGAACATCCACATCAAAGCTTTATTGCTTGGATTGGAAAAAAAATTCCTATCTGTAGGTCAGCCTTAAAATACACCATTTCATAAAATATTGATTGTCTTTCCCATATTTTGAGCCCATGCAATTTGTGCTACCTGAGGGAACAGTATTGTGTCCTTGATTTGGTGAGATCAGTAGCTTTCTTATCTTATTGAGTGACAGCTACAGAACTCAGAAACAGAAGCTGCATATTAAGCAAATTTATATCTTTCTTGTTATAATATTATTGTGTATAAGAAATAGAGATGGCCGGGTGCGGTGGCTCACGCCTGTAATCTCAGCACTTTGGGAGGCTGAGGCAGATGGATCACACGGTCAGGAGTTTGAGACCAGCCTGGCCAACATGGTGAAACCCTGTCTCTACTAAAAATACAAAAGGCAATAAGAGGTTCTATGTGGACTTTGAAGGTCGTCTCTATCAATTTGAGGTTGGAAAGAACAGTTTTGTTGACATCCTTTAGCTGTGTTACAAGTACAATTTTGTTTTTTACTCAGGCAAAAGAAAATGTGTGTGTGTGTTAAATACAGTCAGCCCTCTTTATCTGTGGGTCCTGCATCCTTGCTTTCTACCAACCTCAGATCAAAAATATTCCAGAAAAAAAAGGATGGTTGCATCTGTACTGAATATGTACAAGCTTTTTTTCTTGTCATTCTTTATGCAATAAAGTATAACAACCATTTACGTTGCATTTCCATTGTATTAGGTATTGTGGGTAATCTAGAGATGATTTGAAGGATATTGGAGGGTGTGTCCAGGCTGCAGGCAAGTACTATGGCATTTTATGTCAGGGACACCTACAGATTTTTGTCTCCAGCCATGGTTCCTGTATAGTTTAACATTTCCACACGCTGAGGGTGTGATGGGTCTGAGTTGGGTTGGTCCCCCATGTTTGAGGAAGTGTGCCCATCATGATTGTACACCCTTGTTGTAAACTTCGGATATGTCTATTTTGATATTTAAAACATTTTCAGGTTAAGTCTGAAAAATGCCAAGATAGTAACAATATTTTAAAAGGGAATTCAGAAGTATTACTATAATAATAGAACTCATTATTAGAACATTCTAATAGTAGAAAAGGAAGTCTATTTATTTTATAAAATTGTCAGTTCAGCTTAAGATCTAATAGTCTTTTCCAATTAGCAGCAACTTAATTGAGACTACCTCAAAAGAAGAATTTAACATTTATTTTTGTAGAAAAAAAGCAATTTTAAAATAGCCTGGGAAAACTTAGGTAAGTTTTCCTTAATCCTGACTCCTAATTTGTGGCTAGAAGTGGCAATGATATGAACATAAGTTGTGCTATTTGTTAATATATTGCTTTTCATAAATCAATCCCTTTTTTGTAATTAGGTAAAAAGAGAAGAGAAAGACATTCTTGATTTTGGTGACTAGAGTTGTAGATGCTGGAAGCTTTGCCACTAACATTGATGAACCAGATGCATGTCACCAGCCCATCACGGTGATTCTTAATGCCGTTAAGTATGAACATACAGTAAAAGACTGTTGATAGAATACATCGGTCTTATGAAATGAAATGTGTTGGTTAAGGATTTTTTAAACGAATTTCACATTACACAACTGGCTTTACTAAATCTGAGTCTTGTATTTCTGAACAGGGCACCATGGGCCCGGCACTGCCACGTTTTCCAAGGAACCTGCCGGAGCTCCTGCGGAAGCTGCTCCTCAGGCGATGGAGTCCCTTCGCTGGTAGGCCCTTCTTCAGTCACCACAGGATGCCTGCCATTCATGAACAAGAAGGAGAGGACGGGCTTTGAATAAAAAACAGGTAAGTTTCCAAACTGCTTTTTTTCATCAAGATTTCAATCTTGGCTGGGCAAAGTGGCTCACGCCTGTAATCTCAGCATTTTGGGAGACCAAGGCGGGCAGATCATGAGGTCAGGAGATAGAGACCATCCTGGCCAACATCATCTCCTCAGCACCCAGCTCAGTCATTTAGACAAAGAAAATATGTAAGATGACCGAGCACGGTTGCTCACGCCTGTAATCCCAGCACTTTGGGAGGCTGAGGTGGGCGGATCACGAGGTCAGGAGGTCAGGAGATCGAGACCGTCCTGGCTAACACGGTGAAACCCCATCTCTACTAAAAATACAAAAAAAAAAAAAAATTAGCTGGGCATGGTGGCAGGCACCTCTAGTCCCAGCTACTCGGGAGGCTGAGGCAGGAGAATGACGTGAAGCCAGGAGGCGGAGCTTGCAGTGAGCTGAGATCGTGCTACTGCACTCCAGCCTAGGCAACAGAGCGAGACTCCTTCTCAAAAAAAAAAAGAAAAGAAAGAAAAAGAAAACACGTAAGAAATAGTTGCCAAAATAATTGAATACAGGATCTTCAACTGAGATTATTTTCTTTGTTAGGATCCAGGAAATATTTGTGAGGCCATTTGGACTTCAGTGTGAAATGGTGTTAAAAGATGAAGTCATTTATTCAAGAAGTAAACCTCTGCCACCTGGACTGTGCGCAGACATTTCATTGATTTTGTTTAATAAACATTTTCTGGCTTTGGGAGGTGTCTCTCTTGGTAGAACACAGTGTCAAAGATGGACAAGATGGACACATAGTCCATTATTTGGTATTGTTTGTGTATGGGAGCAGACCACAAATTAATGTTTGGAGAACAATTTTGTCATAACACACTGTTGAGGCTCAGTTGTACAGAACTGGAAAAGTCTTCAGCTTGGCACATGTCCTGATTCAGCCTTTGTTTAACATATATTCCAATCCGGATTCTATCTTCACTGGCTACAAAGACCACCTGATACGTGCACCACGACACAGGAGCTGCTGGAGAGGGGGTAGTGTTATCACCTCAAACCCACAGCCATATTTTTCAAAAGCCAGCTTAGAGAGAGGTGTACTGATAGCTGCATAGAGAACATGCAGTCCATCCATTCTTCCCAGTGATGTACATTTCTCAATCAGTAACCACGTGGTATACCAGCCTTGAGTGTCACATCTCCCAACCATACCAAATGGATCACCTAACTGGAGGTGGGGGGGGCCCTCAGAAATGAGATTTCGTATTTACTGTAAAATTGCCTTATTTTTTCTTTTGAGGTGGAGTCTCACTCTGTTGCCTGGGCTGGAGTGCAATGGTGTGATCACTGCTCACTGCAACCTCCGCCTCCTGGGTTCAAGCAGTTCTCCTGCCTCAGCCTCCCAAGTAGCTGCAATTACAGGTGCATGCCACCACTCCCAGCAAATTTTTATATTTTTAGTGGAGACAGGGTTTCACCATGTTGACCAGGCTGGTCTCAAACTCCTGACCTCAGGTGATCTGCCCACCTTGGCCTCCCAAAGTTCTGGGATTAAAGGTACGAGCCACCGCAACTGGCTGAGAATCTTTTTATTTGCTGATTTGTCTCTTGTGTATTTTCTTTGTTCAGATGTCTCTTCAGATCTTTTTCTCACTTTTAAATTGTTTTTTAATTGTTAAGAATTTTCTGTCTAGTTTAGATATAAGCCCTTTATCAGACATGTGTTTTGCAAATATTTTCTCCTAGTCTGTGGCTTGTATTCTGTCTCTTAACACTCATTTTATTTTTACTTTTGGAACTAAAGAAGAAGAATGGTCAGCTTTCCATTATTCTTGTAACAGTAATGGCAGAACCAAGTCTGCTAATGCTACACTGAGCAAAGAAAGTCACCTGGTGAAGTCCAACATTAATGAAATGGGGTAGTACATGCAGGCAGCGTTGGGGGTGGGGAGGGAACAAATGCTTCTTGAGAGTAATATAATCTGCCATACCATCCAGGAACCTACAATGGCTATCTATTACCTTATTCTCTGGTTTGTTTAATGTTCGAATCTTTCCGAAAGATCCTTCAACCTTTCTGGAAGAATCTAATCTGATAACACCATCAAAAACACATTACTTCTTTTGGCATAATTTAAATTGTAAGACATCATTCACATTTATCAATGTTACATATATAAGAACTCACCCACCATATTCTTCCTTGAGGAATTACAGCATGTAATTCTATAATCATTTTTATAATCGTCTAACAATTTTATAATGGATTGGTTGCTTACTATCAATTTTTTAAAAGTCATGGCTTCTCCAGTCATTTCTTGCTTATCGAAATTATTTCATGAGATGGGTCTCTCCTTGTATATTTGAAAATGAGGTTTGCTTCCTTCTACTTAAAAAACAACTTGAACATACCTGTTTGGATCACATGGTCTTGTCCTGATAACTTGGAAGAGGTTGCTTCAGCATTGTTCTTATTGTTGTGGTGGTTATTATTAATATTGTTTCATATTCTGTTTAAAAAATTAAAATTTTACACAAGACCAATGTCTTCTTTTCAATTCCAGTACATTTTTCAGAAGTAACTAATGCTATTGGCTTTGTGCATTGTAATTTCAGACCATTTTATATGTCTTTAGTTATATGTACAGTATACACACATATGTGTCATATTATTCCATTTTTTCTAGCATTAAACATTGCTATGGAAAACTCTCGGAAAAATATTTATTTGAACAGAACTTTTTCTTTTCTCAGATGTACCCTCCTTAGGAATCTTTCTTTGATCCTTGAAGTTTGGTAACAACTTTAAATATGTGTATCCCAGCTGGGAGCAGCGGCTCACACCTGTAATTTCAGCACTTTGGGAGGCCGAGGAGGGTGGATCACCTGAGGTCAGGAGTTTGCCTGGCCAACATGGTGAAACCCCGTCTTTACTGAAAATACAAAAAGTTAGCCAGGTGTGGTGGCTGGCACCTGTAATCCCAGCTACATGGGAGGCTGAGGCAGGAGAATCGCTTGAACCTATAGAGACAAGGTTTCACCATGTTGACCAGGCTGGTCTCGAACTCCTGACCTCAGGTGATCCACCCACCTCAGCCTCCCAAAATGCTGGGATTACAGGCATGAGCCATTGCACCCAGCCATACAGGAGCAAGTTTAAAAATTAAATATTTATTTGAATAACAAGCTTACATTGGAGCTGCAATGTTGGCAATCCAGATTTTGAACACGGATCACAAAAAGCATGCATAAAATCCTACTGGCCCAGAGAACAAAACACTGCTCAGAATTAAGCGAAATAGCTGCTACTGTTAAGAAAACAGGCCTGAAATCAATATACAAGATTTTAAAAAATGTATTGGCCGGATGCAGTGGCTCATTCCTGTAATTCCAGAACTTTGGGAGGCCAAGACAGGAGAATCACCTGAGGTCAGGAGTTCAAGACCAGCCTGGCCAACATGGTGAAACTCCATCTCTACTAAAAATAAAAAATTAGCTGGGTGTGGTGACACATGCCTGTAGTCCCAGCTACCTGGGAGGCTGAGGCAGAATAATTTCTCGAACCCAGGAGGAGGAGGTTGCAGTGAGCCGAGATCATGCTATTGCACTCCAGCCTGGGCTACAGGTGAGACTCCGTCTCAGGGAAAAAAAAAAAAGGTATTAAACACTACCATATACAGAACAATCTTTGTTATTGACTATATTTAAAAATCATTTTGCACAGTTAATTATATATTGCAAATGAGCATAATACATGAACTTCATTTTGGAAGGCAATTCCTTGTTACACTAAAAAACATCTAATTTCAGCTGGGCGCGGTGGCTCATGCCTGTAATTCCAGCACTTTGGGAGGCCAAGATAGGCAGATCAACTGAGGTCAGGAGTTGGAGACCAGCCTGCCGAACATGGCGAAAACCTGTCACTATAAAAATTAGCCGGGCATGGTGGCAGGTGCCTGCAGTCCCAGCTCCTTAGCGAGGCTGAGGCAGGAGAATCGCTTGAACCCGGGAGGCAGAGGTGGCAGTGAGCTGAGATTGTGCCACCGCACTCTGGCCCGAGCAACAAGAGCAAAACTTGGTCAAAAAAAAAAAAACAAAAAAAAAAACCAGCCGGGCGCAGTGGCTGACGCCTGTAATCCCAGCACTTTGGGAGGCCGAGGCGGGTGAATCACGAGGTCAGGAGTTTGAGACTAGCCTGGCAAACATGGTGAAACCCCATCTCTTCTAAAAATACAAAAAATTAGCTGGGTGTAGTGGCGGACGCCTGTAATCCCAGCTATTCGGGAGGCTGAGGCAGGAGAATCGCTTGAACCTGGAAGGTGGAGGTTGCCGTGAGCCGAGATCGCGCCATTGCACTCCAGCCCTGGCAACAGAGTGAGACTTCATCTCGGAAAAAAAAAAAAATCCTAATTACATCACTTTGCAAATAATCTCGTCTTTGCTGTCAATAAATAGTTAATAGTATTACTGTAAATATCAGGAAGACTACAAAAAAAAAGATTCCTTTTTGTCTTCAAAGTGTTTTTTACGCAGTGAAGCAGTTACTGTGTTGAACAGAATGCAGTACTAGAAAATGTCCTGGGTGTGAGATGCTCTTGAGTGACAAAACTAGGCTTTTCTTTCTTTTTCTTTTTTTTTTTTTTTTTTTGAGACGGAGTCTCACTCTCTCACCAGGCTGGGGTGCAGTGGTGCAATCTCGGCTCACTGCAACCTCTGCCCCCTGGGTTCAAGTGATTCTCCTGCCCCAGCCTCCCGAGTCGCTGGGACTACAGGCACCCACCACCACTCCCGGCTAAATTTTGTGTTTTTAGTAGAGACGGGGTTTCACCATGTTGGCCAGGATGGTCTCGATCTCTTGACCTCGTGATCCACCTCCCTGGGCTTCCCAAAGTGCTAGGATTACAGGCGTGAGCCACTGAGCCGGGTCCAAGACTAGGCTTTTCAAATCAAAGACAAAGGAATCATGCAACCCTCTTACAATTGGGATACCATCCTGTGCCACTTGCCAATACTGTCTTTCCAGAAAACCATTCAAGACACTAAAAAAAGATCAGACATATGATAAACATACATAAAATGAAAAGACACCAACTGCTATTTGACACTACTATTGGTAATGCCTGACATATGTGAAAGCACTTTTATTTTATTTTTTATTTTGAGACTGAGTTTCGCTCTTGTTGCCCAGGCTGGAGTGCAATGGCATGATCTCTGCTCACCGCAACCTCCGCCTCCCGGGTTCAAGCAATTCTCCTACTTCAGCCTCCCGAGTAGCTGGGATTACAGGCATGTGCCACCATGCCTGGCTACTTTTCTGTATTTTTAGTAGAGACAGAGTTTCTCCATGTTGGTCAGGCTGGTCTTGAACTCACAACCTCCGGTGATCTGCCTGCCTCGGCCTCCCATAGTGCTGGGATTACAGGCATGAGCCACCATGCCTGCCCATGAAAGCACTTTTAAAAAGAGAGCACCTCTGCTGCCTGGTCATATTCTGTACCTGTTCCCAAACCCTGAAACCAGTGATGTCAATGGCTGCGTGGGCATTGAACGTGTACATGATTCCTGCAGCTTTCCTGTTGACCTGGACCATGTTCATCAATGCTTTTTGGTACATTAATTCTACATCTTCTTCGGTGACCACAGTTTATGTTTATTTCATTTTTCAGGAATATCCAGCCACTGGTGCACAGCCATTGCCACTTGTGCCCCCAGGGGATCTTGTCAACTCCAGTATGTCCCCCCAGCACTGTGTTATCTGGCATAATAAATGTAGTTGGGCTGTAGTTGTAGTGACTCCTCCCAAAACAACCCAGGAGTTTAATACTGTTTGGCCACCGGTTACAGACATTGCTGCCCCTTCCGCTGCGGCTTTAAAAGCCTATCTAATCGGCTGGGTGTGATGGTGGCTCAGACCTATAATCCCAGCACTTTGGGAGTCCAAGGTGGGTGGATCACCTGAGGTCAGGAGTTTGAGACCGGCCTGGCCAACATGGTGAAACCCCATCTCTACTAAAAATACAGCAAATTAGCTGGGCGTGGTGGCGCATGACTGTAATCCCAGCTACTCGGGAGGCTGAGGTAGGAGAATTGCTTGGGTGGCAGAGTAAGACTCCGTCCCAAAAAAAAAAGTTATCTAATCAGGGACGTCACCTTTCCCTGCCAGTCATTTTGTTACCAATGAAAGAAAACATATTCAAATCAATTTTTAGTTCAGAAAATGTTTCTTTCATTGTATCTTTGAATTTTATTGTTCTGCATTTTTTACTTCAAAAACACCTACTATATGCATTTTTTCTCTCGTTTCCTTTTTTTTCCAAGAAATGTTTTTGTCCTTTTGATTTTTTCACTGACCATTACCATTATTTATATACCATGTACCTGGAGAGTTTCCAATGTTTCTCTTTGGTCTGAGATACTTGCTATGATTTTCACTTTTTAAATGCTCTTTTGAGATTTGTTTTGTGGCCTAAAATGTGGTCTATCCTGGAGAATGTTCTGTGAGCTGATGAGAAGAATGCACGTTCTGCAGTTGGTGGGTGAAATGTTCTGTAATTACCTGTGAGGTCCCTTTGACTTCTCTTGGAGTCAGTCTGGTCTGTTACTTTTCTGCCTAGAGGGTGTGTCTGTTGCTGAAAGTGGGTGTTGGAGTCCCCAGCTATTATTGTCTGTCTCTGTCTGTTGCTCGAATAACTCTTACTTTAATAACTGGGGCTCCTGTGTCAGGTGTGTTTACATTGACAACTGTCCTACCTTCTTGCTGAATTGATCTCTTTATCGTTTTATAATGACCTTTATTTTCTATTTTTGTGCTTTTTTGACTTAAAGCCTACTTTGTGTGACAAGCATAGCTATACATACTCACTTTTGGTAACACTTTTCATTTCTTATCATCTTCATTGAATCTCACTTCTTCACATTTACCAAAATGTCTACTTTTGAGCTGTGGCACCTCTTTGAATCTTCAGATCCACCACATGCTGATCAAGCCTTCCTTTTTGTCTGTACTCTGAGGAATCCCAAACAGGCATTTTTGCAAGAAAGTCTAGGAGGGAAACATAAATCTATGTGTCAAAAAAATGAACATAGAAAATAATGTGTCCTGGTTAACAAAAGTTCTCATTGTAAAGTGTTAGGCACAAGACTATGGAATTTCATGTGCCATAAATAAAATTGTCTTGATTTGTCTAAAACTACATTTTGTCTAAAACTACTTTTAAAAATTACATGTTACTCTAATAAATGTATTTTTGAGAATTTGGTGACTTATTTCCTAGATCTCTTTCTTTAATTTTAAATTAAATTCCAGCATATTTTGTTTGTGTGAGGCAGAAATTTAAAAATAAATATGCAATTATTCACTCCAAGAAAAGTAACAGGCAAGGCAAGGGTTAAAAAGAAAAGAACAAGTTTTCCTCTGCTTAGCAGCTCACTTCAAGGACAGTTATTAGATAAGGCTGTTTGAGAAGCCAAGGCCAAAGGAATGGGCTCCAGACACCCCCTCTTCCAGAGCAAGGATGAAGGAAAAAAAAGAAAAAGACAATTTATTTTACTGTTACTCTTTCCCCAGCCTTCTTAAGCATGATTATGTTTTACAAATGTCCGTATTTAGCCAGTTCCTGTTTTTCTTTCAATGCAGCTACAAGGCCACTGGCTATGCAAGGCCACAAGTTGTGCTATGCTCTAGATTATGTGACCTGTCATATGATTAGCTGCTTTTGTTTTATTTATTGTAAGTCCACTTACAAAAACCCCGCTCTGTCTTTGTTTAATGCTCAGCTTTTTGGATGCGAATCCACTGAGCCAATGTGTACCTAAAATAAACAATCCTCCTGTACTCTCATATCAGTCTCTCCAGTCCTCAGTTTCCTGCAACATGTTGTGTGTGACTTTCATGTCATAAATAGTTTATCAAGAAACATTTTGAATGGATCTAATGGATTGTGTGGTTGTCTAAACGTTAATAGTCTGAAGACATCAAGCGGGCAGGAGCTGGGCAGGGGTAGGATCATGGTGCAGGCAGGACCAGGGTGCAGTGCGGATGGGCTCCAGTAGGAGTGGGGTGCTGGTGGGGCAGGGGTGGGGGTAGGTGTGGGGGGCGAGTCAGAGCAGGGTGCTCCTAGGAGTCGGGTGCTGGTGGGGTGGGGCACAGATAGGAGCAGGTTGTAGGTAGGAGCTAGGTGTGGGTAATATTGGGGTGCTGGTGGGGTGGGGCATGGGTGGTATGGGGTACTGGTAGGGCAGGGTGTGGGTAGGAGCAGGGTTCAGGTAGGGGCTGGCGCTGGAGTGGTGGGGCATGTGTAGCAGTGGGCTGCGAGTAGGAGCCGGGTTCAAGTAGGAGTAGGGTGATTGCTGGGCTAGGCATGTGTAGGATGGGGTGCTGGCAGGGCACGGAGCTGGAAGGAGCAGAACGCAGGTAGAAGCAGGGTGCTGGCGGGGCATGGCATGGGTGGGAGTGGAGTGCGGGTAAGACTGGGGTTCTGGCGGGGCGAGCATGTGTAGGATGGTAGCAGTTGGGTAGGAGGTGCTGTAGGACTGGTAGCAGTTGGGTGCTGGCGGATTGGGGCGCCTGTAGGATGCGGTGCTGCCAGGCAGGGCAGCAGGTAGGAGAAAGGTCCATGTAGGAGCTAGGTGCTCCGGGGCTGGACAAAGGTAGGAGCGGGGTGTGGGTAGGAGCAGGATGACAGCTGGGCCAGGCCCAGGAAGGAGGAGAGTGTGGGTAGGAACTGAGTGCTGATGACGCAGGGCCCAGGTAGAAGAGGGGTCCGGGTGGAGCAGGATGCTGACGGGGCACGGCACGGCGGGGTACTGGTGGGGAGAAGCGTGTAGGCGCGGGGTGCGGGTAGGATCGGGGTCCTGGAGGCGCGTGGGAGGATGCGACGGAGTGCGGTAGGGGCAGGGTGATTGTGGGGCGGGGGGCGGGTAAGACGTGGTGCTGGCAGGGCCGGGTGTGGGTAGAGCAGAGCGGTAGGAGCAGGGTGCCGGTGGGGCGGGGCGCGGTTAGGACAGGGCAGGGCGTTGGTAGGAGCCGGGTGCCAGCAGGAGTAGGGTGCAGGACGCGGGTAGGATCGAAACCTCATGCTGGAAAGGCCACCAGTAGCCTGGGTCCCCGTACCTCTGCAGGCGCAGCCGCTCTTTTCACCTGGTGCGCCAGCTTGCAAGTCGTGCATTTACCTCTTTTGGCTGCACAGAGGGCAGGGAAGCCTCGCGGGTATGCAAGATCGGGAATGGCTGGGGGTGCGACCAAGGGGACTTGGAGAACCGCCCCGCCTCCCCAGGTTCCCCTGGTAGAGCGCACCACCCCCCACCCCCGCGAGTTTTCAGAGGCCCAGGCCCTGTGGAGCTGGGTCTCTGCGGAAGGGGTGGGGACCGGGCAGAGGCAGGAGGACGGAAAGAGCTGGGCAGGGAAGGGGGCCAAGAGAGCCCTTTCTCAACATCCAGGTTAGTGGATAGGCTGGGGGTCCTGCAGAAATGTAACCATGTGTGGAAAAACAGGAAATGGGGAGGGGCGAGGAAGAGGAGTTGGTCACCCGGCAGCAGGTGGTGGCTTAGACAATCATAGGGGCTGAGGGGCTGGCTTCTCACTGTCAGGTCCTGGGCTGGTAAGTTTCAGGGAACTCAGATGAAACAAATGTAACTTTCTTTAAGAGTAACAGGATCGATTTCTCTGTTTATTCAAGGAAGCTGTATACATCGGGTCTATGGGAGAATTGGGCACCTTTCAGCCTCACGGGGGAAGCTGTAAGGGTGGGCGCCCTTCCCCCCCTCTACACAAGCGCACTCTTAGGATGTGGGACGGGCGGCAGAGGAGAGCGGGCGGCAGAGGAGAGCGGGCGGCAGAGGAGAGCGGGCGGCAGAGGAGAGCGGGCGGCAGAGGAGAGCGGGCGGCAGAGGAGAGCGGGCGGCAGAGGAGAGCGGGCGGCAGAGGAGAGCGGGCAGCAGAGGAGAGCGCGCAACAGAGAGGAACTGGAGCCCCAAAGACTCTAGTTTCCCCCAAATAAATGATAGCCATGAACATATTCACCTCACAAGGAGAAGCCAGGGGGCCTGCGCTGGGGGGTTGTGGGCTGAGGTTGGAAGTGGGTTTTGGGCCTTTGTGGGGAAAGTCCTCTGTTCTCTCCCCATCCCCTAGCTGCCTCTTGAGGTCCGGCCTGCATCTAGGCACAGAGGGATGGAGGAAGGGAAGCCCATGCGGCCTTGGGGTGGGAGGGCCTAGGAACCTGAGCCTGGGGTGCCCCCGGGCCAGCTGCTCGTGTCCTTGCTGTGTCCCACGTGCACGTCCAGAAACCAGGAACCTGGAACCTGGTGGGGCTCAGGGCTGAATCTGCAATCTGCACATCAGTCTGCAGATTTGAAGTCAAAGTGAAGTCGCCCTCGCAGGCAGGATGGAGAGCTGCCAAGACAGGGTCTGGCTCAGACTCAGCCAACCGCTATGTCCAGAGCCGGCCTGCTGAGGGGGAGGTGGTGGGGGGAGCCTGGGAGCAGGGGCAGCCAGCCCAGGAGAGCTAACCTGGACCTAGGGACCAGGTGCTGCCTGCCACCCACCCTCGTCAGGGGCTGACAAACCTGCAGTTGGCCACAGGGAGCTCCCCAGGGTGCAGACGGGTCCCGTCTCTGTGGCTAGCAGATACCCAGGCTGCACCCTCACGCCTATACCCAGGGAAGGGAACTGATAAGGAGGGAGAGGCTGGGGGCGAGGGGTGCGTGGAACTTTTGGTGGCAAACAAGCTCCTGTGACTGTCTTTCAGGAGAATGAAGAGGTAAGCGGGTGGGTCTGAATAGCCCCCTCCCCACACTTCCCAGGGACCACTCTGGCCAGACCTTGGCTGACGTGCACAAGCTGAATGTCTAGCTCAGCTCTGTGACGGCCTCGAGGCCCATCTGAGATGGCAGTTCCCAGAATCTGAACCACTTCTCCCCTGTCTCTCCACCCCACCCTTGGGGAGCTTGAGTGGAGACCTGACACCATGGGGGGATACAGCCTTATCCTGAGAAAAACGTCTGTAGGGGATCTTACATGGGTGCACCCTGCACACTTGCACACATGCACACACCTGTCTCCACATATGTGGACACACATGCCCATGGATGTATATCTTTTCCCACGTGCACGTCCAGGAACCTGACCAGAGGGTCGTCCAGTAGAGGACAGAGTTGAAGCCTGGGGCCTGCTGGCCTTGGGGGCTGCAGGGAGAGGAGACTCAGCCCTGCCAGGGCCTGGGTGTGGGCTCAGGATCCAGAACATCAGGCAGCAGGAAAGAACTCCTCATCCAGCAGAGTAGAAGCGGGGCCCCTCCTGAGGTCCCACAAGGGGAATTTGGGGCCAGGTGGGGTGCAAGGCAGACGTGCCAGCCTGCAACTGCCCAGGAGGCCTGGCCCTGACTTCTTCTTGTCCCCAAGGAGAGGAGGGCCTGCACCCCGGGCTCTGCCTCCCTTTCTTGACACCCCTTAGTCATCTCTATCTAATTTAAAGTATGTTTATGCTATTAATTTTTCAGCACACAATCTTAAATACCTACACAAGGAAAGTGCTACTGTCATAATGCCATGTGAAAATTCTACCAGCAAAAAATTATGTAAAAATATTATGCTAGCTGGCCGGGCAAGGTGGCTCATGCCTGGAATCCCAGCACTTTGGGAGGCTGTTTATACACGTTTTAGTTTAGTCAGACTTTCTTTTATTTATTTATTTTTTATTTAATTTAATTTATTTATTTATTTATTTTTTGAGACGGAGTCTCACTCTGTCGCCCAGGCTGGAGTGCAGTGGCACAATCTTGGCTCACTGCAAGCTCTGCCTCCCAGGTTCACGCCATTCTCCTGCCTCAGCCTCCCGAGTAGCTGGGACTACAGGCGTGTGCCACCACGCCTGGCTAATTTTTTGTATTTTTAGTAGAGACGGGGTTTCACCGTGTTAGCCAGGATGGTCTCGATCTCCTGACCTCGTGATCCATCCACCTTGGCCTCCCAAAGTGCTGGGATTACAGATGTGAGCCACTGCGCCCGGCCTATTTATTTATTTTAACTTTCATCTTAAGTTCAGGGGCACATGTGCAGGTTTGTTACACAGGTGAAATCATGTCACAGGGGTTTGTTGTACAGATTATTTTGTCACCCAGATACTAAGCCTAGTACCCAATAGTTATTTTTCCTGCTCCTCTCCCTCCTCCCACCCTCCACTCTCTGATAGGCCCCAGTGTGTGTTGTTCCCCTCTATGTGTTCATATATTCTCATCATTTAGTTCCCACTTGTAAATGAGAACATGCAGTATTTGGTTTTCTGTTCCTATGTTAGTTTGCTAAGGATAATGACCTCCAGCTCCATCCATGTTCCTGCAGAGAACATGATCTGGTTCTTTTTTATGGCTGCATGGTATTTCATGGTGTATATGTGCCACGTTTTATTTATCCAGTCTACCATCGATGGGCATTTAGATTGATTCCATGCCTTTGCAACTGTTACACACATATTTTCATAGTTAAAATGCTTTCAGTAACTATTGATGTTTTCAAATTAAAATGTGATATTATTCTCTATTTTAAGGAGTGTTCAAATTTCATAAAATAAGTATGCACTCAAATTTAATATGATCAAATAAGTTTGCCCATTTAAACTACTGCAATTCAATATCAAATGGTGTTAAATGGAGTTTGATTGTACAATATCAATTGTAAATAGGCTAATGTATAAACGAAATTATACTTGCCAGATTGTAAATATGAAATGCATGTATTTTGTCACAGGGAAAAGAACTGAAGAACAGTTTGTTGACTGAGGAGCTGAAGTATTAAGTACAGAGACACATATATATTTAAAGACCCTGTGGAAAAAAGTTAATGAACAAAAAAGAATTGGAAGAAGGTGAGAGATTACCCGAAACATCCAAAGGATAAAATGACTACTGGGCATTTGGCTAAGTAGGTAAAATTAAGTGGAAACAGGAGGAACTGTACAGAGCATAAAACTTGTATGATTAAAAAGTTTAGGGCCGGGCACGATGGCTCAAATCTATAATCCCAGTCCTTTGAATATTAATCTGACTGGGCCAGTGCACCTAAATAATTAATAAATATCCTCCTGAACCCCATCAATCTCTCTGATTCCTTAAAAATCCCACTACAAGTAACTATTGTGTTAGGCACACAAGTCCTAAACAACTCTTGAACACAAAACTTTTAAACCAGGTAAATTTTATCCTTTATAAAATTGGAATAATTTATCAGAGGGTGGAGGGTGAGAGGAGGAAGAGGATCAGGAAAAATAACTAATGGGTACTAGGCTTAATACCTGGGTGATGACATAATCTGTACAACAAACCCCTGTGACACAATTTACCTATATAACAAACCTACACATGTACCCCTGAACTTAAAAGTTAAATTTTAAAAAAGTAAGTTTTTTTGTTTTGTTCTGTTTTGTTTTGTTTTGTTTTGTTTTTTTGAGATGGAGTCTCGCTCTGTCACCCAGGCTGGAGTGCAGTGGCGCAATCTCGGCTCACTGCAACCTCCACCTCCTGGGTTCACGCCATTCTCCTGCCTCAGCCTCCCGAGTAGCTGGGACTACAGGCGCCCACCACCACGCCCAGCTCATTTTTTGTACTTTTAGTAGAGACGGGGTTTCACCGTGTTAGCCAGGATGGTCTCGATCTCCTGACCTCATGATCCTCCCGCCTTGGCCTCCCAAAGTGCTGGGATTACAGGCGTGAGCCACCGCACCCGGCCAACAACTAAGTTTTTAAAAATTTTTATTATGTCCAGTACTATGGAATCTGTTCACTGAAATGGATATTTAACATTAAAGGTCCAATTAAAGCATTTCCAGAACTTAAAAAAGAAAACAAATACTTTTTCTTGGAGTTAAGTTCTATAGCAGAAAAAAGACAAATAAACACAGTTAAATTTTAATGTATACAATGAAATAATGTATTATAGTATTATTCCAAACATACCATTTTCTAAGAAAATATTAATAACTGTATAAGAGATTTTAGCTATTCTTGCACCTAGTCTCAGATTTTTAAATAAGTGCTTTTTAGATTTAATAAATAACATTGAAGGAATGTCTATAAGAATTTACTATCAGAAATAATATGATTTCTGTCACTTCCATGCTCATAAAATTAAACTCTCAAATGTCAAATCTGATTAAATATCAAAAATTACTCATAAAAATGTCATAGCTTGGAAACTGGACGTTACTGGATTTTATAGCACAAAAAGTATAAGCTTCTCTTTAAAAATCAAAATGAAATATACTGTACTTATTCCAGGGTATATGCAAAGAGCAATAAAATCAAGGAATATGAAAGCAAATAAATTAGGAAGTCAAAACAAGACTATCTGGACATTATATAGAGTTATGAATCTTTATTATTTTAGCTCATTCAGAATATAGTGGTATAGGCATTTTCTAGGAGATATGTATAATCCAACAATATGTTTCTGTTATTTTCTATTAGAGATTTCTATTAGATGAACAATAATGTCTTACTTTATATAATGGCTCAAATATAATTTTATATGGTCCTATGTCTGAACACAGTGTACAAAATCTACATAGGTAAAAATGATGCAGCTTAATTTTAAGTAGTGAAGCAAAGCTAACTGTCTTCTGCTCAGAACAAAGTTATTTTTCTTTAAATGCATTAAACATAAAGGAAATATTAGTAGGACTTGGTGAATAACAGTTAATAGTGATAATTGAAACCATCCAATCACCTACCCATATACCATGACATTTATTGTACAGGAAATTTCATCAAAATGCTACATTGTGTAAAATAAAAGCATGGGGCTTGATTTCTTTAGGGTCTTTAATCTTTATGGAAGAATTTTAACCTAAACTAAAATTTAGAAAATGAATTCTGATGAAACTTGAAAGATTATGAAATATTTTAATCTCCCTACATCAGGAACTCCGGATAGACTGTTACTAACTGGCTTCCTATGGCCCAAGGCTGAGAGGAAAGGCAAGGCAAACATTTGGTGTCCTATCTATATAATGGAGCTTTTTTTTAACAACTCAGATTGTTACCCATCCCATCTTTCAGTAGGCTGGGAAGAAAAATAAGGAAATATTCCTTTCTTTTTAATGCAAAAAAAGATTTAAGTTGTATGTATTTACCGTGTAGAACATTATGTTTTGAAGCATATATACATTGTGGAATGACTACATCTAGCTAATTAACATATGTATTATCACTCACTTTGATCATTTTTGTGATTGAAACACTTAACACCTACTCTCAAGCATTTCTTAAGAGTATAATAAGTGATTAAGTGTAATTGTGTAGTAGGTTAGATCTACTAAATTTATTCCTTCTATCCAACTGAAATTTTATATCCTTTGATTAACATATATGCTGCCCTCCCCAATCTCAGCCACCCCAGCCTCTGGTCACCATAATTCTACTCTCTGTTTCTTTAAGTTCTATCATTTTAGCTTCCACATATAAGTGAGAATATGTGGTATTTGTCTTTGTGCATCTGGTTCATTTCACTTAGCATAACGGCCCACAGGTTCATCCATGTTGTCACAAATGACAGGATTTCCCTCATTTTATGGCTGAATAGTACTCCACTGTGTATATTTACCACATTTTTAATCCATTCATCCGTTGATGGGCACTTAGGCACTTAGCCAAGATTCCGTATCTTGGCTATAGTGAATAATGGTGAAATGAACATGGGAGTGCAGAAGTACCGATTTCATTTCTTTTGGATATATACCCAGAATTAAATTGCTGGATCACATGGTAGTTCTATTTTTAATTTTCTGAGGAACCTCCATACTGTATTCCATAATGGCTGTACTAATCACATTCCCAAAAATGTGCAAAGTGCCCTTTTCTCCACAGCCTCACCAACACTTATCTCTTGTGTTTTTGGTAACAGTCATTCTGAAAGATGTGAGGAAATATCTTGTGGTTTTGATTTGCATTTCCCTGATTAGTGATTTGAGCATTTTTTTCAGACACCAGTTGGTCATTTGTATGTCTTCTTTTGAGAAATGACTATTCAAGTCCTTTGCCCATTTTCAGTTGTTTTTTGCTTATTTGTTTGTTTGTTTGTTTTTGAGACGGAGTCTTGCTCTGTTGCCAGGCTGGAGTGCAGTGGTGCAATCTCGGCTCACTGCAAACTCTGCCTCCCGGGTTCAAGCATTTCTCCTGCCTCAGCCTCCCAAGTACCTGGGACTACATGTGCCCACCACCACACCCAGCTAATTTTTGTTGTTTTAGTAGGATGGGATTTCACCATGTTAGCCAGGATGGTCTTGATCTCTCGACCTCGTGATCCACCCACCTCGGCCTCCCAAAGTGCTGGGATTACAGGCTTGAGCCACCACGCCCAGCCTCCAATTTCTTTGTTTCTTGCTATTGAGTTGTCTGAATTCTGTATATTTTTTGGATAGTAGCCCCTTGTTAGATGTGTGGTTTGCAAATATTTTCTCCCATCCTGTAGGTTTTCTCTCCACTCTGTTCACTGTATCCTTTGCTGTGCAGAAGCTTCTCACTTTGCTGTCATCTCATTTGTCTATTTTTGCTTTTGTTGTCTGTGTTTTTAGAGTAAAATCCAAAATGTCATTGCCCAGATCAATGTCATGGAGCTTGAGCTCATGAGTTTGAGACCAGCCTGGGCAACATGGACAACGTCTTAAAAAAAAAAATTTTAAAGCCGTGTGTGGTGGCATATGCCTTTAGTTCCAGCTACTCGGGAGGTTGAGGCAGGAGGATCACTTGAGGCAGGGAGGTGGGGGCTGCAGTAAGCCATGATCATGCCACTGCATTCCAGTCTGGGTGACAAGAGACTGTCTCAAGAAACAAAAAATCATGTCATCTGCAAATGGACAACTCAACGTTTTTCTTTCCAATTTGGATGTCTTTTGTTTCTGCTGCCTAGTTGTTCTAACAC
Source organism: Homo sapiens (assembly GCF_000001405.40). Classification (NCBI taxonomy): domain Eukaryota; kingdom Metazoa; phylum Chordata; class Mammalia; order Primates; family Hominidae; genus Homo; species Homo sapiens. The sequence continues at coordinate 176,141,328 of NC_000005.10, forward strand.
CTCCAGTACTATACTGAATTGAAGTGGCGAGAGGGCATCCTTGTCTTGTTCTGGATCTTCTTTCTCCGTTGATGATGATGCTAGCTGTGGCTCTGTCATATGTGGCTTTATATTGTGTAGTTGCACATTCTTTATAGACCTAATTTGTTGATAGTTTTCATCACTAATAGATGTTGAATCTGTCAAATGCTTTTTTCTGCATATATTTAATGCTCATGGAGTCATATGGTTTGGAACTCTGTCTCTGCCCAAATCTCATGTTCAACTATAATCCCCAGTGTTGGAGATGGGGCCTCTTGGGAGGCGATTGGGTCATGGGGGCAGTTTCTCATGGTTTAACACCATCCCCCTTGGTGTTTCCATGGCAATAGCAAGTTATCATGAGATCATGTTTAAAAGTGTGTAGTGCCTACCCCCACTCCTCCTGCTCCAGCCATGTGATGTGCCAGTTTCCCCTTTGCCTTCCACCATAATTGAAGCTGAGCAGATGCTGCCATGCTTCCTGTACAACCTATGGAACCATGAGCCAATTAAACCTCTTTTCTTTGGAAATTAACCAGTCTCAGGCATTTCTTTATAACAATGCAAGAATGAACTAGTACCAAAAATTGGTACTCAGAGTGGGACAGTTTTGAAGACACCTTAAAATATGGAAGCAGCTTTGGAACTGGTAATCATCTGCAGCTTGTGAGGGTTTGGAAGGCTCAGGAGACAGGAAGATTAGGGAAAAATTTGAACTTCCTAGAGACTTGTTAAATAGTTGTGACCAAAATGCAGATTAGTGATATGGACAATGAAGTCCAGGCTGAGTAGGTTTCATATGGAGATAAAAACCTTATTGGGAACTGGAGTAAAGGTCACTCTCATATGCTTCAACAAAGAGACTGGCGGCATTGTGCTCCTGCTGTAAGAATCAGTGGAACATTGAACTTGAGAGAGGTGATTTAGGGTATCTTGTGGAAGAAATTTCTAAGCAGCAAAGCATTCAAGATTTGACCTAACTGCTTCTAAAAGCCTATGCTCATATGCCTGAGTAAAGAAATGACTTGAAACTGAAACTTATATTTGAAAGAGAAGCAGAGCTTCAACATTTGAAAACTTTGCAATCTGGCCATGCAGTAGATAAGAAAAATCCATTTTCAGGGGGAGGTATTAAAAGCAAGTTGCAAAAATTTGCCCAGGTAAAAAGGAGTCAATTGCTAATTGACAAGACAATGAAAAAACAGCCTCAGAAGCATTTCAGAGACCTCCATGACAGTCTCTCTCAACATAGGCCTGGAGGCCCAGGAAGACTGAAAGGTCTTATGGGCCAGGCTCAGGGACCTCCTGCTCTGTGCAGCCTCAATACATGATGCCCTGCACTTTGGCCACTCCAGCTCCAGCCATGGCTAACAGTGGCCAAGGTACAACTTGGGCTGCTGCTTCCGAGGGTGCAAACTGTAAGCCTTGGCAACTTCCACATGGTGTTAAGCCTGCAGGTGTACAGTGAGGCTTAGGAACCTCCGCCTAGATTTCAGAAAATTTATACAAAACCCAGAGAACCTCTAACTAGGATGGTGTGGTGGGGAGACGTGGGGTTAGAGCCTCCATATAAAGTCCCCACTGGGGCACTGCCTAGTGGAGCTGTAAGAAGAGGGCTACCATCCTCCAGACCCCAGAATGGTAGATCCACCTGTTACCAGAAAGGGGTCCGAATCCAGACCCCAAGAGAGGGTTCTTGGATCTCATGCAAGGAAGAATTTGGAGCAAGTCCACAGTGCAAAATAGAAGCAACTTTAATAAAGGAGGGAATGAATAGTGACTCCATAGACAGGGTAGGGCATTTCCAAAAGTAAGAAAAGCATCCAGCCTAGGTACAATGCGTATTTAAAACTAGAAGTGCTTTTGTTCTCAAAGTATCAAGACGTTCCTGAGTCTGTTAAGTCCTGAGTCTGTTTAGGAAACATTATTAATCTGTTCCCTCAATTGTAAACATCTTGAGGCTAAGAATGCTTAACCTCCTGGGCATGCAGCCCAACAGGACCCAGCTTCATTTTTCTTAGCCCTTGTTCAAAATGGAGTCGCTCTGGTTTGAATGCTTCTTACATATTTCCCCTCCCTTTTACAAGAGGACCCTTAATCCTAAGGGTTGCAGAAGGATGAAGGTCCATCTTTTGTAACTTCTTCATGCTGAACGGGGCGATGATATTTCCACATAACTATTAGGGTCTCTTGTATTCAGGGCAGAGAGGAGTTCAGTCAGAAGGCATTGGTACATTAAGCATCATTTGTAGCTCTGAGTTCCAGCAAAAGGTGAAACCTGGAAGATTAATAAGTGTCCAATTTAAGAAAGTATCGAGTAAGCTTATCTTGTGTTCCTATACGAAGAGTACAACCATCATATACTCAACAACATCAAAGCAAAATAAGTAAAATTATCCCAGGTAAACTAACAGGAAGGCTTTCCAAAGACTGGGCAGTTGTCGGGACCAAGCCGATATGGAGTTGACTGACAGTGCATCAATGGCAGAGATATGAGTGTCTAAAGCTTTCTTAGCCTGGGTAATATTATGTGAATAGTCTCAAACATGCTGCAACATTTGGTTTTGATCAAAGCACAAGTTCCCTCTTGAGCTGCAGTTAAAATGGCTTTGCCATGCGGTTTGGTAAGGCCACCTGCCTAATCTGAGAGGTGTCCTCAGGAGGGTAAGGGCATGGTGTGTATTACTCAAAACTGCAGCCGTGTGCTCGGCCAAGGCCTCAACTTGCAGCTCAACATTGATCGTGGCTGCCTGTGAAGAAGGTATAGCCATCTGGTGGAAGCAGATGGCTTCTATAATGAGTCTTTACAGTTTCTCAGTTAGATGGAAGACAGTCCAATTTGGTGAGGATACATCCCAGAGGATAAAGATGATCCCACATACACCTTCCAATCCACTTATAAGGTGAGTATGACCAGCTGAGTTCCACAAGCCCATAACCACCTCAAAAAAGAAGAGGCACCAGTTTTTTGTGAGTTATGTTGCCATCTCACCCACATTTTGTCTGTTAAAAGAAGGGTCTTATTCAAATTTGGGGAAAATCAGCAGCTAATAAATTATTTAAGCTGTGGTCTATGCCTCTCTGCCTTGTATTAAAAGAGAAAGTTGAGACCTTTAGAGATGAATCTGTATAATATGGGGAGTCTCAAAAACCTAATTTTACAGTAAATACTAAATCCCATTTCTTAGGGTCTGCTCCTTTTGAGGTGCTCCATTTGGTATGGGCACAGTGTGACACCCAAGGCTGGAGCATCAAAACCACTTCTGCGGTGTCTGCTAAAACCACGGGGTGACAGACTGAGAAATTTAGCTGAATGAGATGCCTGGATGGACTGCATGTTCTCTCCACAGCTCTCTGTAAATATCTCTCTTGGCTGGCTCTTGAAAATACCAGGTGGCTGTGAGTTTGAGGTGATAATACTCCCTCTTCAGCAGCTCCTGTGCTGTGGTCACATGTCAGGTACTTTGCAGCTGGTGAAGGCAGGATCAGGATTGGAATATATGTTAAACAAAGGCTGAATCTAGACACATGCACATCTAAAGGCTTTTCCAGTTCTGTACAACTGAGCCTCAACACTGTCTGTTACAACAAAATTGTCCTCCAAACATTAATTTGGGATCTTCTCCAATACATGTATAAACAGTGGATTGACTATTTGCCCATCTTTGACACTTACTGTGTTCCACCAAGAGAGACACCTTCCAAAGCAAGAAATTGTTGGACAAACTTCAATAGGATGTCTGAGCATGATCCACGTGGCAGAGGTTTACTTCCTGAAGAATGGACTTCACCTTTTAACACCACTTCATACTGAGGTCCAAATGGCTGCACAAACATTTTTTAGATCCTAACAGAGACAGAAATCTGAGTTGAAGATTCTGAATTCAATTCTTTTGTCAACTATTTTCTATATCGCCTGTGTCCAAAAGACCTACCTAGGTGCTGAGGATACAATGTTATTCCCACCCTTAGCGCCTGTACTCCAGAGAAGAATATAGGCAAGGAGAGAGACGATCGCAATGCCATCTGCACAGGGGATGTGAGCGGCCATGGTGCTACAAGCATGCTATTCATGGGAAATCTGGGAAGAGTGGAGGAAAGCTTCCCAGAAGGAGCCAGCCCAGGGAAGCTGAGGACAAGCATTCCAGGCACAGGCATTCACACTGGTGCAGGCAGGACTCTTCTATTCTTCCCTAAGATCCTAATAGCAGACTAAACAAACGAAAGAGTTCTGTAACCCAGGTAGGGGGATAAGCCATGTGTGTCTCAGAGGAGAGTGCCCTTTAAGCAAGGGTCACACAAGCAAAGCTTGGTACTCTTGACAGGGGAACTCTGGCTCTAAGTTGATATTCACTTAGGATTTGAAAGCCCAGAATTCATGGGCCTATAGAAGAAATGAAGAAATATAGCTCAACAGCTGACAAAATCAACAAATAGTTTCTGGGAGAATAAGAAAAGTGAATGAGAAAAATAAAAATTTTTGTTCATTATTTACTTTTGTCAGAATATACTTAAAAATAATGATTCCTTAATATCTATTCAGCTGGTTTCAAAGGAGATTCTCAGTAAAAGAAAGAAAATCTGAAGCTAAATGAAAGAGTTTACACAGATTCATAACATCTATAAGCAAAAGTAAGATGTGGACTTTGTCATTCAGATGGTGGATTTTGAAGCACCTCCAAGAGAGTGGCTGTTTTGAGAGATGAGTAAAACTTGTCATTATAAACATATTTATGTTACCTTTCCTCCCAAACTTTGGGATCCCTTGGAGAAAAAGAAACTATAACCTCATGTTCTTCTCCAGGTTTAACGAATAGATTCTCTAGATCCACTAAAGAGGGACTTTCTCATTCTGGGACCTAAACAGTGACAGAATAATAATTAAATGCGGACTTACAAAAAGGCAGCTTTCACTCAGTGACTCCTGCCTTACATTCCTTTCTCATTTACCAAGAGAGGTTATTTTTCCCTTTCTCCCAGTCCATCAGAGTCTCAACTCATCCTGCTCTCTTGGAAAGCGCCTCTTTTTCTTCTTTTTCTTCCATAACAAACCTGATGTCCCACAAACTGCACCCCCGATTTCCTGTCACTAACATACTCTCACTCACCTTTGGGTCTCAGAAAAGAGGTCAAAGTGTGTGGGTGACTCTTCCCCAATTCCAGCGACAAGCTGACATGCACATTTTTCAGAAATCAATCTAGAACTTGCTTTTCACATTCAAGACATTGGAGTCTACACTGAGAGCACCATAGCATACACTTCACACTAGAGAAACAGCCAGTGTTTAAAACTCTCAGTGATTCCATCATCTGGTCCTCAGGACACCCTGAAGGGGCAGGCAGCACCGGGACCCTCAGAAGGCAGGGAACCCTCACAGTCTCAGGAAAGACTACTTTATGGTTCTTTGACAATAATTCATAGGTTGATATCTAAATAACCTACAACTTTCCCAGCGTTTCTCAGAGGTAAGGTCTGTTTTGTGGATGGAGCCACGACGGCCACCAAATGCATCATCTAGAAGATGGAGTGAGACAAACCTTTCAACAATCTGTCACCATGAAAGCGACATCAGTCCGAATGCAAGACAATGAAGGCAGAGGGGAGGACTGAGGGTACCTGTAAGTCCCTGGGAGCAGGAGTTGTAGCTCTTTCTGCTCTTTCTTGGAGATCAATACTTCTAAGAACTGGTGTGGGGTTTGGGCTGTCAACTTCTACGTCAACTCTCACTACGAAGTCTTCTCCTGAGTCCTGAATCTCTAAAATTCAAAAGGGTTGTTCTTTTAGTTCAGAGACCAGACACTTATTGAATTGTACACGCCATCAGCAGTCCAACACAATGTCCTTAGGGGCCACAGAAAAATGTAGGCAAGAAGATTTTTTAAAGAATTAAAATAGGACTGGAAATGAGTGGAGAAGCAGAGAAAGCAAGAGCACATCCAACTGGTAAATGAGATGAGATCAATTTAGAGAAAATATCCCAATAGGTCCTCAGTGGTACTTGCTGTGGTCATGCACATTCACCTAGGTTTGACCCAAAACAGCAGGCATCTGCCTCATTGTCAGAACAACAGAAGATACTTGACAGATGACTGGAAGTATTCACATGTACTGACAGAGGAAATCAGTCTCAAATTTGTAGTCTATTTAGATACACAGAAAAGCAATTCCCAGAAAACATAAACATCATACCTGAAGAGCCGAGTTCCTTCTTGGGACTCTGGAAAAGAAGTGATATTATCAGAAATTCTGGACCTTATGAAATAAAAATTTAAAAATTAATATATACTAGTATTAAGAGGAAATCTGAATGAAAGAAAAGGAGTTTGAAAAACTTACTTTTTTTTGTTTGTTTTGATGGAAAGCCCATCCTCTCCTACCTGTCCCTCATAACAGGCAGGTGTCACCTGGTTGATCACAGAGCAGCCTGCCAGCCAAGGGACCACATCAGTGCAGGGAGCAGCTCTCACAGGAGCTCAGCCGGGTTCCTCGGAAAACGTCCGATCTTGCCAGGCCACGGTGCTCTGTTCCGAAAGAGAAGACTCAGTGTCAGTAAAGCCAATAGCAATAAGAACATGAACTGTGTTAACAAAATCTTTAACAAAAATAGTTCAGTTCATAGAATGTATTCTGTGAACAGCATTTTTTCCTGTACATTCATACTCACAACATTGAGAATCAACTTGATTGGTAAGTGGTGTGTGTCCAGTTCAGTGCTTTTATTGGCAGAGACTTCCAGCCTCCACAACTCCAGTCACCAAAATCAAGAATGGCTTTCTGTTCTGTTTCTACCTAATTACAAAAAAGGAACTGATTTATGAAAAGCAATATATTAATAAATAGCACTCCTTATGTTCATATCAATGCCATTTCTAGCCATAAATTAAGAGTCAGGATTAAGGAGAACTTTCCAATTGCTTATTTTCTACAAAGATAAATATTAAATTCTTTTTTTGAGGTCATCTATATACCCAAATGGACCAGAGAATTAAGCTGCTGCCTCCTGGAAAAGGCTATTTAATCTTGAGATGAAGTGACAATTGTATAAATTACATAGACCTCCCCTCTATTATTAGAAAGTTTTAACAATGAGTCCTACTCTTAGAATAATGACTTCTCCATTCTTTTCAAAAATACCACTAGTATCTTCGCATTTTCCGATTTTATTTAAAAATGTTTAAAATATATCAAAATAGACGTATTTAAAGCTTCCAAAAAGTGCCTATGATCATGAAGAACTGACTTCCTTAATCAGGGGTGACCAACATAACTGAGACCCTGAGACCCCCACATATGGAAATATTTGAAGACGTGGGAACGCCACTGGACACCACAATCTGGGCAAGTCCCTGACATGAAATGGCACAGTACCTGCCTGCAGCCTAGGCACATTCTCCTTCATACTTCAAATCATTCCTAGATTATTCACAATGCTTAATAGAGTGTAAATGCTACGTAAATAGTTGTTATACATTACCGTGTAGAGAACAGTAACAAGGAAGAAATGCTTGTACATGTTCAGTACAAATGCAACCAGCTTTTTTATGAAGGGATGTGGATATTTTTGATTCAAGCTTGGTAGAATGTGAGGATGCAGGACCCACAGATACACAGGGCTGAATATATTTAACACACACACATTTTTCTTTGCCTTATACAACCATAAAATAAAGGGAAATCAAAGGCCGCCTGGCAAGAGGGAGCTGACTTCCACAGTGGCTCAGAAAAGTCTGGGGTCCAGATTGACCCTCAAGGAGGTAAAGCTTTAATACCTTCCAGAGAACAATCGATGTGACTTCAAGCTTGTTGTGGTGTGACTTCTTGTTGTGGACAGGGAGAGGCTAAAATGAAATTTGAATTCTATACATAAAGCCCAGAAAGTCAAAGAAGCATTCTTTCTAGAAATAAAAAGAAAACTGAAAAAAAGTCTGATCGCATGTCTGTGGGGATAACAAGGAACCTGTCCAGAGGTGGGTGGCATCGAAGGTTGTTAACAGGAACATGAAGGCCTGGGCCAAGGCCCCACCAGGCATGGGAGCCCCAGGCTAAAAATCACGAAGGCTTTCAGTGCCTCCAGCATTTCTGCAAAGTATCCTCTAGGGACATTTCCAAAAAGCAGGACACATGGGATTCCTAAAGCAGAAAAGCAGCCTCAATCAATGTGAACTTGCATGAAACATTTTTAAATACCAAAAAAATGGAATCCACTCAAAGAAAGTCAGGAAGATTCAACAAAAGTAACTGGTGGAAACATTAGTGCCTCAAGAAACAGAAATCTGAAATCAACTACACAACGGTTCGTTTCAAATACAGATCATAAAGTCTACAACAGAGGAAAAAGTAGAAGATTCATGAAGCGATGCTGAGCATGAACAAGTTCAAATAGCTCCATCAATCTGTAAAATTGTTTTAATAGACTTTTTTATTTTTTTATTTTATTATTATTATACTTTAAGTTTTAGGGTACATGTGCACAACATGCAGGTTTGTTACATATGTATACATGTGCCATGTTGGTGTGCTGCACCCGTTAACTCGTCATTTAGCATTAGGTATATCTCCTAATGCTATCCCTCCCCCCTCCCCCCACCCCACAACAGTCCCCGGTGTGTGATGTTCCCCTTCCTGTGTCCATGTGTTCTCATTGTTTCAATTCCCACCTATGAGTGAGAACATGCGGTGTTTGGTTTTTTGTCCTTGCGATAGTTTGCTGAGAATGATGGTTTCCAGTTTCATCCATGTCCCTACAAAGGACATGAACTCATCATTTTTTATGGCTGCATAGTATTCCATGGTGTGTATGTGCCACATTTTCTCAATCCAGTCTATTGTTGTTGGACATTTAGGTTGGTTCCAAGTCTTTGCTATTGTAAAACTTTTTTAATGTTGGGGTTTCAAAAGCCATTTAGAACTAAAATATTGGTCAAAGGTAATATGGAAGGAAAAGATGAGCATTTAAATGAAGAAAGCTGACTGTGTTGTTTGAAAATAGAACAGAGCTCTTGATTCACCTTAGATTTGAGTAAGCAATATGAAGTGCGCAGAAATAGAAACACATAATGTCCAAAGTAATGCAAAGGAAGGACAAAGGAAAATATAATCCAAGAGGAGGCAGAAAAGGAAGGAAGAAACAAAAGGAAAAATTTTGGCTAAATTTTTAAGGTATAGTCAACTAAAGTATATGTTAAAAACTGCAAACAAAATGATGGAAATAGATACACAAGGAAACTCGTGAAGAAAATAACAGATGGGCCGGGCGCAGTGGCTCACGCCTGTAATCCCAGCACTTTGGGAGGCTCAGGCGGGTGGATCACTTGATGTCAGGAGTTCGAGACCAGCCTGACCAACATGGTGAAACCCCGTTTCTAATAAAAATACAAAATTAGCCGGGCGTGGTGGCACACGCCTGTAATCCCAGCTACTTGTGAGGCTGAGGCAGGAGACTCTCTTGAACCCGGGAGGTGGAGGTTGTAGTGAGTGAGATTGTGCCATTGCACTCCATCCTGGGCAACAAGAGGAAACTCTGTCTCAAAAAAAAAAGAAAAAAGAAAAGAAAGATGATGCACAATATTAACACCAGACAAAATTGGCTCTAAGACAAAAGGGGTAAAGAGAATTTTTATTTCTTTATTTTATTTTATTTATTTATTTTTTGAGACGGGGTCTCGCTCTGTCGCCCAGGCTGGAGTGCAGTGGCGCGATCTCGGCTCACTGCAAGCTCTGCCTCCCGGGTTCACGCCATTCTCCTGCCTCGGCCTCCCAAGTAGCTGGGACTACAGGCACCCACCACCATGCCTGGCTAATTTGGGGTATTTTTACTAGAGACGGGGTTTCACCGTGTTAGCCAGGATGGTCTCGATCTCCTGACCTCGTGATCCACCCGCCTCGGCCTCCCAAAGTGCTGGGATTACAGGCGTGAGCCGCCGCGCCCGGCCTGTTTCTTTATTTTATTACTTTTAAAGTTTGTTTAGGCTCAGACCCTCGCTCTGTCGCCAGTGCTGGAGCGCAGCAGCACGATGCTAGCTCACTGCAGCCTGGACCTCCGGGGCCACCACGCCTGGCTGATTTTTCAAACGTTTTTTTAGAGACAGAGTCTCACTGGGTTGCTCAGGCTGGTCTAAAGCTCCTGGCCTCCCTAAGTGCTGGAATTACATCGCTATGGGTCGCTATGTCTGACCAAGAATTACTTAAAAATGAATCATTCCACACAGAAGGCAAAACAATCCTAAACCTAAACATATGTAACAATATAGCTGTGTGACACCCACAAAAGAAATGATAGGATGTATAATTCTCCTTGTAGGAGAAATTTCAGATCTACAACCATCTCTCAGAAGCTGAAAGGCTAAGCAAACAAAAATATGAGTAATGATTCAGAAGATTTGAACTACAGAGAAATTAAACCCGAGCTAAGTACATGTAAGAGCTCTGCACCTGCCAGAAGAGTCCTGCTAAGCTCACAGGAGACACCAACATCAGCTGAACATCCTAGATGACGGAACCAACCCATCTGTCTCCATCCCACACTCTGACCATGAAGGGGGAAATGGGGGCTGGGGAGAAAGCTGCCAAGTAGGACAAAGACTCGTTTACAAGTTATCACCTTCATAACCGGACTCCCCACAGTAACAGGGAGAGCGGCAGAGGTAGCCAAATGCTAGCTAGAATGGACTTCACCTTTTAACACCACTTCACACTGAGGCCCAAATGGCTGCACAAATATTTTCCAGATGCTAGCAGAGAAAGCAATCCAAATTGAAGGTCCTTGATCTAATTATTTTGGTAACGATTTTCTACATATTTTATTTGTCCAAAAGACAGAGCTAGGTGCTAAGGATACCATATTCCCACACTTAGAGCTTATGCTCCAGAGAAGGATATAGACAGGGAGAGAGACGATCACAATGCCATCTGCACAGGGGGTGGGAGCAGCCGTGGTGCTCCCGGAACACTGTTTATAAGAAGTCTGGGAATTCCCAGGAGCCAGCCCAGGGAAGCTGCGGGCAAGCAGTCCAGGCACAGGCATTCCCACTGCTGCAGGCGGGACTCTTTTCTTCTGTAAGGCCTTAACAGCTGATTGAGCACACAAAAGAATTCCGTAACCCAGGCAGGGGGATACGCCACGTGTGCCTCAGAGCAGAGTGTGCTTTAACCAAGGGTCACACAAGCAAGCTCAGTACTCTTGACAAGAGAGCTCTGACTGTAAGCTGATGTTCACTTATGATTTGAGGGCCCAGAATTCATGGGCCTGGAGAAGAAACGAAGAAATATATCTTAACAGCTGACAAAGTTAACTAGTAGTTTCTGGGAAAAAAAAGAAAAGGTGAATGAGAAACATCAATACACAGCGTGGTGGGGACAGACAGGCTAATCGCTGAGGTCCCACAGCTCCACCCCACCCCGACTGTGATGACACAACTCTGGCCACCTCTCCCTTGTCTCTCTCAATGGGGATCTTCTCTTCTACTCCCCACTGCCAAAGACAGCACCGCTTCATTCACAGACTCCTGGGTGTCCCTAAAAAGTCTTCACAGCCCACTTTTCACCCTCAACCCTTTCCTTCAATCACCTGCTTTTCACCTAAGCTGAGGATCTGAAAGCAGAGGGGAAAAGCCAGGAAAGGGGAGGGGGAGGGCATCTTATTTTACCAGGTAAACAAGGGTCACTAAGAGGCATGCGGGAAGACTAAACCCATCCACCAATGCTAGTTTGCAAGTAGCAATCACAAAACCAGGACACTGAAAAACAGGAGCTGCTGACCCTATTCCCCTCCCCACTCCCTGCCATTCAAATGGTCCTTGTAACCAGGAAAGGAGATGTGGAGTCTAGAGTTACAGCAGCTACAACTGAGCAGGTGAGAGACCCTTGCCAGAGTTCATGTTAAAACTGCATTTCCAGCTATTTCAAAATCTTACGTAAGAAAGTCATCAGATAAGTTGGTCAAAAAGACTCCCGTTACCAAATGAAGGCATAGCCCCAAGATTAACTTGGTTCTCTCCTTCTCTCTTTTGATAAATGACAGTAACTTATATTCAGTCCCATTTTACAAAATTAACAAGTAGAGCGACCAGGATCTCTGAGCTTTCAGTGATTGTAGTAATAGTGCTACAAACAAATTTGTATAATTTTATAAATAAGTAACAATGAAATATAAATAATGACAGAAAAAAACAAAACATTCAGATTTCACTGTACATTATAAGCACTACAACAAAATGGGGCCTGAGGAGAAGATTCCAGGGCAACGCCAGTGTGCGGGGAAAGGGGTGGGAGAGCCTGGCCCCGAGAAAGGAGAAATCCAGCACTGACTCCCAGTGCAACTGTTACATCAACGGAGAGCGCCCTAGAAAGCTGTCTTTTCCTCACTGACACTGATCTCAGGACCCCGATGCTGACTTGCAGCCAGGGGTCGGCTGCATTGAGGACATGAAGGCGGGTCTGGGAAGCCGTCCCAACACCGCAGGCAGAAGGAAGCTTCCACTCCTCAGGCAGATACTCCCCGGTGAGAATAAGGCACAGTCAACGATGCCAGTGACACCAGACCCCTGACTAATAGGTCAATCGGTTCAATGGCAATGAGTCTACGGGACGGCCTGTTTGTAGCCCAGAGCCACAGTTCAAAGCGCTCCAGATGCAGGACTCCCTGCCACTGCCTGAGCCTCAGCAGAGGCCTGCCAACATTTTCTTCCTGCTTCCATCCAGTCCAGGAAAAACAATGAAGATTAGATCACACTCACCATTATAGGCACTGAATTATTTCATGTTACTGTCATGTCTTCCTTTTTTCTCTCACAGATCATAAGCCACCGCTTAACCTCAAAGAAAACCATAAAGGCTCTGACTTTCCAGATGTAAAGCCCAGCCGATTCTAATACTACCACCCATCTTTGCCCCATCCTCACGCAGCTGCTCTGGAGGGCAGACAAGACAGCACCCCAGTAGCATGTGTACCATGTCAGGAAAAGCAACGAGCCCAGCTATGGGGGCACATGACCATCAGCAAGAGAGAAGCTGCCTCACGGACGCACCTGAGTGCTGCCTCTCCACCACAGACACCCAGAAACTCACAAGCTGGAAGCACTCGCTCACTCCAGGATTCAACTCTAAACTGGACATTTCCTAGCTGAAATAATCACAAAACTGCAACAACAGAGCAAAAGAGAGGTAAGGAAGACGAAGCCGCAGGCAGCCTGTCACCTGTATAGGTGCTAAGTGTGTTCTAAGCCATCTTCAGGAACCTTGCACAGAAATATATTGTGGTGGTCTTAGTTTAGGACAAAGCACAAAACTTACAAGAAACTAAGGCCAACCAGTAACTCCTTGAAACAAACGAGCTTTGTGGGGTCATTTGAAAAAATTCAACTAGGAAATAACAACAACAGTAACACAGCAAAAGCATCTCACCCAGTACTGATGTCATTCCTGAATCTCGTGGTTTCTTTCCAGTTTGTACCAATAGAATGCACAGGAAAAGGCTTCGCTGTGCTTAGCAGGTTCCGATGTGAGGCATCAGAATATGGGTCGCAGATGGAAGAGGTGCCCATCCATCCAGAGCCGGTATTTGGTCCCAAATTCCACAGCCACAGAGTTCTGCACATGCTCTCCCGTGACAGCTGGATAGGGATGGCCTCCTGAGAAGCCACAGGCTATGGCCCTGCCAGCCTGGCACTGAGGCAGGGCGACACTTCCAGCTGAAGGGAGTGTTCTTCAATACCTCTGGCTGAAGGAAGCTGTGCTGGGAGGGGTGACATCAAGAGTGCAGGCACCGCAGCCCCATGTTCTGCGTCTCAGCTGCAGAGCCATGAATGGTTCCGCTGGGAACAGGTCCCGGCCTCTGAGCTCACAACTTGCAGTTGACGTAGCTTTAGTGATGATTCTTTGATCATCATCTACAGTCTCCTGGCAGGACACAGGGAGGTGTGAGCAGCTGACCCCGTCTGACGACTCAGACCTGACTTGCTCAGGAGAGCCAGCCCGATCCGGTCCACTTTCTTGAGGTCTGACGTCCAATCCACCTCACTGGGTTCCAACAGATCTCCACTTTTGGAGGAAGGATCTTCACTTGATCTAAGGTTAGGTTTTACATCTTTAGGCTTGCTACTCAGAGAAGTAGTTGCAGTCATTTTTTCATATCAGTCGTTTGGGATCATAGATGGTAATGTTCCTTTATGTTCCTTTTCCTATATTCTGAAATGGAAATTCTCTCAATTTTTCCACAGCCTATTCCTCGGACAGGGCTGGGCTGGCTTGAATAACTGTGGTGCTCATCTCATTGGTGGTATCACTCTGAGTGTGACAAAATTTTAAAAATAATCAGATAAACTGAATACAACAAATTCAAGTCATGCTGATATAAACTCGGGTAATGTAATAAAGGAATCTACACGGGTTATCTTTCTGAATTAGATGTGGTATACACAAAGGAGTTATTTTGCAACGGGAAATGCAGGCTATTAGAAAATTTATGTTTGTCGCTTTGTAAAACATAGAATATGAGGAAAATAAACAGGAGGTATACACCAGTCATATCTGAAATTTACATAAAGGACCAGAGTCAAGTAAGTTTTTGAAAATGTGAGGGACTTGTGTAAACTTTATAATGAAAATCTAAATACATTAGTCACGAGGCAGAGTGGGGGTTGGAGGCGCAGCCGGCTCGCAGGGCCCCGCCCTTCCTCTGTCCCTGCTGCTGCCTGTGCTTGAAGAGCCAAAGATGTTAACTCTCATGTGGACCCGTCCCTTTCCTGTGTCTAAATGCATGTGGCTCTAATAACGCATGACTTATCGCGGTCATTCCACAGCACTGGACATTTGGGAGAGCCTAGTACTAGCGGTGGGTAGAATAATTTCTCCTATGGCCCCTTCTGAGCCTATTCACAATAAGGCTGGGCTTGGCAGGCCAAGGAGCACTGTGGCTCCTTCCAGTTATAGAGGAGCCCAGGCCCTGCGGTTGGTGGCACAGCATCTTCACAGGCTAAAGCTCAAAACGCCATGACCCGCCGTTCTGCAGACCTAAGACAGGTTGTACTTTCACTGTCAAGATTATGCTGATCAGCAGCCTAACTGCTTCCTTTCATGCTCTTATCCCTTCAGGTTTCATTTATCTTTTTTGTCACTTTTCTTCCATCACTTCTATCACACTTCTTAGCCTTTACTCTAAAATGGGCTGCTGTTTATAATGACTCATTTACCAGAACATTTCTTTTGCTCAGGACAGAATTTTTAAGGTGGACAAGCAAAGCCTAAAGTCCCTTCCAGCCCTGCAATACTATGGGGTCTACACAGAAGTAGAAGACTGCTCTTCTCACTCATTGGCTTTGCTTCAACAAATGGTTCGGCTTCTGCCGTGATGAAGACCAGCTCACTCAAACCTTGGTTCCTATGAAAGTAACTGAAGAGCTTCCAGAATACAATGATAGTCCCAAAGGGATCTGATGTGGCTGAGTAGGGCAACCTCAGAAACACCATCAGAAACAATGAAAACCATACAACAAATGTGCTCATCATATACTTACAACCAGATCTCAAGTCTTCAGTCATCTCATCACATTTTGTTTGCTCGTAAAAGATGTGTGACAGGCAAGGTCCATGACCCCTCTGCCCTCTTCATTTCCATAGACCACATTCTGTGTGAGATTCATTTCTAAAAAACAGAATTCCAAAACTATCCATTGACACATGTAACAACTAAAATGATACGACATTCTCACATAATTGTTTTATCTAGATGACTGCCTTAATTACCAACAGCACTGAAATCTGCCCAAAATGTGTTGGAAAAAGAAAAATCCATTTCCCCAAATGAAAATATCTCTTTTATGGCAGACAAGCCAGCTGTGCTCATGAAAACAAGTCAATAATTGAGACTGAGAAATAAAGAAAAAAATGCTAAGACATAGAAAGGTACATTTCCACTAGAACTCTGATGAAAGGTACGATTTCTGAGCAATTCTCCCTATACTAGTATATTTGAAATTTTGTCTGAACTATAAAACACTTAAATATTCCAACCTAAAAGACTGACACAGCCCACATGAATATACACCCTATCCAAAATGTACAAATATCTGTTTCTCTTTTTTTATAGTTACAATGACAGTTTGTTATAAAGGATACAAATGAAGAGCCAGGTGAAGAGATACTCAGGGCAGCAAGGTCTGGAGGGGTCCAGGGTACAGAGCTTCTGTGCCCTCTCCAACTGGTCTGTCTGTCTAGCACATCAATAGATTCACCAACCAGGAAGCTCTCCAAGCCTTATTGCTGAGTTTTTATCTAGGTTTCATTTTATAGGTGTAATTGCTTAAATCATTGGCCATGTGACTGGGCTCAATTCTAGCCCCCTTCCTCTCCCCAGAGATTGGGAGGGTGAAAATTCCAACCCCCGAATTACATGATTGGTTTTTCTGGCAAACAGCCTTTATCCTGAAGCCATCCAGCCCATCTCCCCGCCCCACATCCATGAGCCATCTTGCTGGCATAAATTCAGGTATAGTCCAAAGGGGTTTGTATGAGTAATGAAAGACACTCTTATTCAGGAAATTCCTAGGGTTTGTGAAGCTCTGTGTCAGGAACTCGGGAGAAAACCTAAATGTACTTTTAAAGTTTATACCACAAGCTTGGAATTTGGGAGTGGTTAGCACCTATTGGAAGTGGTTGGAATCTATCTAAAAGCCTCAGTCAAAAGTGAGAGGAAGAATTTGATTTTAACATCCTATTACAGTATGAAAGTGCAACAGAACTACTGCAACATAAATGTTAGTTCAGATAGGACAAATACGGCCTTTCAATTTGGGCATGATTCGTTTTAGATGTTCTTGGATTTTTTCATCAAGTTAGGTGTAAGTGAAAGGACATGAAGCAAATCAAAGAACTTGTTGAAAAATTGCATCCCTGATAACTAGCGACATATTTTTCATGTTTGTTATAAATACCCTGTAGGTACTGCCTCCAGTGAACCAATTTAAATAAGATTCCCTGGGTATCGAAGCCGTGAGAACACGGGAATATATTGAGAAGGACATTTTCCTACTTTGAAAGGTTTGTACTTGGAATCTATGTGCTTGTATATCTTAAAAGAGGTTAGGAAAGGAATAACTTATCTGTTAATAGGAATACCTGAGTCCTCCGCAATTCTGGTGGGGAAAAAGGGAGTGAGCAGAGAACCACTTAATAAAAGTGGAAAAACTGTAATAGTGTTCCTCTGAGACACATTTTTACTAAAAGTATATTTTCTTTTTGTTTGAAAATCAGAATCAAAGGCATATTTAACTACAGTGAAAATAGCTGTTTTTAATCACTGAGTCTCTCAAATGTGACGTTACAAATTTAGATAACACAATAGTTTCTTCAAAGTAATATAAACCTAATTGTATTCACATGTTTACAGACAAGCAAAAGTGTTTTAGCATCTAGTGGCTCATTCAGGTGGAAGGCAGCTGTTCCTTAACTGCATCCTTTTAACCTTGATCAAAATGAAAACTTGTGTTTCTTTTATTCTGTTTTTTCAAGCCCACTTACTGTCTTTTTTCAACGGACTCATGATATTCACGTGTTCTCTTTTCAGGAGTCGGTGACCGAAAGGTATTAGTGAAATTAATTCTATGGTCACTAACAGGCTTCAGAGACATTGTGTCCACATTTTCTTGAAGGGACACTGAAGGAGTCTCAGTGTGTAAACATCCATCCACGTCCAAAACTGTCTCCGCATCTGATGCCACGTGCTTATGCTGGTGAGGAGACTGTGCCTCCTTGCACAGGGTCAGTCAGGTCAAAACCACCTTTGTGGGCATTTGCATCATGAAAATGAACAGAGCTGAGGGTCTTCACCGGAACATACTTTCTTGCATTTTCCTTTAAGAGAGAATCAGTAACAGAGCAATAGTAAGTTTTATGTTTCATAACTCATACTAAAATTTATGGGAAAATTATACAGTTGATATAAAAGTTGTATTATTTGAAGGAACAATATACACTCTTGACTGTATTCCAGACTACATGTGAACCAAACATAAGCAGCTGACCAAACCAAAAGCTATGATGTGGTCATGAAAAACACACACATCGACGGATTCAGATGCTGAAAGTGGCCTCAGGTTCCATTACATCAGGGCTCCCAACCCCTGGGCCCCAGATATCAACAGGTTCAGATACCAAAGTGGGTCTTGTGTATCCGTTTCATGAGAGAATGATAGAAATGTCAGCTTAACTTTTATCATGACCCACCAATGTCTCTACAAGGGTGGTCAGCCCATTAGTGTGACCAACCTCCTAAAGTTAATACGAGTAACGGCCCCTGAAAACACAGATATTAGTGTCTCTTCGTAGGAGTAAAATAGTGGATACTACAAATGCCCCTGAGCAGTCCAATAAAATTTGTAGCAGACACAGCAAATTTAGCCAGTGCCTTAAAATTACGCTCTCCATCACATCTTTCCAAGTGGCACGTCTTAGTCTCTCCTAAAATTGTAACTGCTGAAAAGGGGCTCAGATGTCTTCAGTACTGCTTGTGGACATTTGGCTGTCACCGTGGTCTCAAGGACCAATAAAACCTATTAACAGCAGCCCCTTCTGCTGTAAGATGAGCAAGAAAGGGAACGACCTGATAAGGCTCAGCTTCCGGAAGTTACAACATTAAAATGCTAAATAAAGCATGCTGACGTAAAGATTGAGATGTGAAAGTATTAGAAGAAGATACAGATTAATTAGCTTATAGTCTTCAGTAGATAACATCTAAGTATAATACTCTAATGGTCTGAACTGTGTCCCTCCAAAAAGATACATTCAAGTCCTGAGCCTGGTAACTATAAATTGTCATATTATTATTCTAGAACAAGGTGTTTGCAGATGCAATTTACTTAAGAATCTTCAGATGAGGTCTTCCTGGATTTGGGGTGGATCTTAAGCACAATGACCAATGTCCTTATCAGAGAAAAGAAGGAAAATTTTCAGACAGAGACATCAAGGCCAAGTGAACAGAAAGACAAGAATGGAATGATGCTGCTACAAGCCAAGGAATGTCAGGAGCCACCAGAAGCTGAGACAGCCAGGGGGGATTTTCCTCTAGAGCCTTTGGAGGGAGCACCACCCTGTCAATATCTTGATTTCAAACTTTTGGCTTCCAGAAACCTGAGGGAATAAATTTCTGTTGTTTTAGGCCAGCATGACTGTGGTAATTTGTTCTGGCAAGCCTAGGAAACTGACATACATTAAAGGCTGAAATGCATAAAGATCAATATATTTCCATAACATAGAAACCTCACAAAACTGATAGTTAAGATATGAATACCCCAATAGAAAAAGGACAAAGATGACAAAGAAACACCATGTAAAACTAGACAACTACTTTTCATATACGACACTTGCAAAGATGAAAAAGAAGCACAATGTGAAAAACCAGCTGTCTCGCCCGCAAAGCAACTTGAAATAATCTTGAATGAAAAATGCAGTTGTAACTTCTAGCTTCCAGTTCTGCACATCAAGAGCTTGGAAGTCAACACTCCATCCCAACAACAAGTAAAAAGATGAACAAACTGACAAGTCAACAATTCTTCTGAGATCTCTGAGAGAAGTGAAGTCACGGCACAAACCACCGCCTCCAAAGCTGGAGAGAGAGATAGATGAATGCAGAGAATTATAACATATGGGAGCATAAACTCCCAAGCAGAGGCCCCCACAGTAGCCACAGCCAGCGTAGGAAAGCCGGAAATGCAATCGAGGAACTGCTGCACGCTCAGTGTGGAAAAGTCTGAGGCTTAAAAACTCCAGGCCGGGCGCGGTGGCTCACGCCTGTAATCCCAGCACTTTGGGAGGCCGAGGCGGGCAGATCACGAGGTCAGGAGATCGAGACCACCCTGGCTAATACGGTGAAACCCTGTCTCTACTAAAAAACACAAAACAAAACAAAACAAAACAAAACAAAAAACTCCAGGGGGCCCAGTCATAGGTGGGCCCCTATGCTTTTGTGAGTTTTATCTCCAGGAACATGACCAGGTTCTCACAGCAAATATTGGAGAAAAATCCCTCTGGACTTCCAGCAGGGAGGGGGAAAGGGGCCACTTTGAAATATGACATGGCACTTTGTTCTTAATTAGGTCAGTCCTCAGGAAAACTGACTAACCAGAGCCTAACCTGCTGGGGTTTTAGCTGAGCCTAACTAGCCTAGAGGAAGGGAAATACCCAACTCCATTTCCCTCTAGCCACCCTGTTCAACCTGAGAGGGAGAAAGACCGAGACACACTTGTGAAGTGCACAGTCCAAAGGCACAGGCTCACTGAAAGACTGGGACCACATCCCAGAACTGTGGAATGCTTCCCCTCTCCAACGTTTTACCGCAACATGTTGAAAGCTGTTCTTTTTACTTAATATATGGTGTCCAGCTAGCAAGAGAAAGTTACAATTTAGAAAAAGGTGAAAAACACAGTTATATTAAGCACATTATGCTTAGGAATTAGAAATCTTTTGTTACTATGAGGTACTCAAACTACTGTGGAAGCAGGATAATGTCATTTGAAAGTGAGCATGGATTAATTATTGATGTATGTTGCAAATACTAGAGCAACCACTAAAAAAGTGGAAACAAAGAATTATGTCTCATATGCTAAAAAAGAGAAAATGGAATCATATAAAATGCTGAACTAAAACCATGTAAAGCTAAAACCCCTCAAAAACGCATTTAGTTCATCTTCTTAGATCCATGAAATATATATATTATATAGATAACCTTAAACATTTAAATTAGTTAGATTTTCCAAACCAAATTCTGATTATTTGCCTATAACATTAGAAATGAAAAGATAACAAGAAGTGACATTAGGAAAGATGGCAAAGTAGAAAGTGCCAGAAATGTGTGTCTCCACCTAGTCAACAACCATAGTGTACTGAAAAAAGACTCTCTGGAGTAACTGTTAGAACTCTGAGGTCTCTTTGAACACTTCCAGCTACCAGGGAAAAAGCTTAGCTGGTAAAGTGCAGTTAATGTGGACCAACTTCAGGCTTCAGCATAACAGTGGCTACCCAGCCCCAGGCTCACGGCCAACAAGTGTAGAGAAAGTAATCTGTGTTTCTAGGGCAGATGGCTGGAGCCACATTTGGCAATAGAACCTTGCCTCCGCTTTATCAGGGTTCTATGTCCTGACTGCAAATTGCTGCTTCTGATTGCCCGGGATAGGTACACAGAAGCTGCCCATCACTGTTTCAAACCCACTGGCTGAAGCAGCCTTTAGGAGACTTAAAGGAGCTGCATTTCTTTTCTTTCTTTTTTCTTTTTCTTTTTTTTTTTTTTGGTATTCAAAAATCAAACAGCATGTAAAAAAAAAGTATTCACCATAACCAGGATACACCATTCCTGGGCTGTATCCCAGGAATGACAATGTGGTTCAACATAAGAAAGCCAATAAATGTAATAAATCACATTAATAAAACTATATGATCACCTTAAACAATGCAAAAAAAAAAAGGCATTTGACAAAATCCAACACCTTTTTATAATAGAAACTCTCAGAAAACTAGAAATAGAAGGGAAATTCCTCAACATGATAAAGGGTATTTGTTTTAATCTACAGCTAACATCATACTGAATGATAAAGATGGAAAGTTATCCCTATAAGATTAGGAACAAGAAATGATGCCTGCTTAAATTGCTGCTACTGAATAGTGTACTGGAAATCACAGACAGCGATTAGAAGGAAAAGAAATAAAAGGCATGCAAATTGGAAAGAGTTGTAAAAGTATCTCTCTCTGCAGATTACATCATCCTATATGCATAAAATCCCAAAGAATCCACAAGAGAGCTACTGGAGCTAGTAAATAAATTCAACATTGAAGGGCACAAGATCGATACACAGAAATCAGGCGTTTCTAAACACCAATAATAAACAATCTAAAATATAAATTAAGAAAGTGATTCCATTTATAATAGCATCTAAAAAAATTAAGTACTTCGGAATAAGTTTAGTCAAGGAAGCAAAAGACATGCTGAAAACTACAAAACACTGTTAAAAGAAAGAAAACCTAAACAAATGGAAAGGCATCCATCCTGTGTGTTGATGAAGGCTTAATCCTTTACAACGTTGAATTTCACAACTTCGTGGATATGACAACAAAAGCACAGGGAGCAAAAGAAAACATAGATAATAACACTATATCGTAATTAAAAATTTTCGCACATGAAAGACTAATATCAAGAAAGTGAAAGACAACCTACAGAATGAAATATTTATAAATCATATATCTGTTAAGGAATTAATATCCAGATGACATAAAGAACTCTACAATTCAACAACAAAAAGCCAAACAACTCAATTAAAAACTGAGCAAAGGACTTAAATGAACAGCTCCCCAAGGAAGTCATACAAATGGCCAATAATTACATGAAAAGATGCTCAACATCACTAGTCATCAGGGAAATGCAAATCCAAACCACAGTGATGTACCACCACCTCACACCTATTGGGATAACGATAATAAAAAGAAGGGGGTAAAAGTGTCATTTAGGATGTGGAGAAGTTGGAACCCTGCCGTTTTGCTGGTGGATGGAAACTGGTGCAGCTGCTGGAGAAAACAGCGTGGCAGTTCCTCAAAACATTAAGCATAGAGCTACCACAGGACCCAGCAATTTCACCTCTGCATATATATTTAAATAAACTGAAAGCAGGGACTTGCACAGGTATTTGTACACCAATATTCACAGCAGCATTATACTCAAAAGCCAGAAGACTCAAAACATCCAACTGCCCATTGACAGATGAAGAGAGAAAAAAAGTCATATATACAATGGAATATTATTCAACCATAAAAAATGACATTTTGACATATGCTACAACATGAGTAGACCTTGAAGACATCGTGCTAAATGAAATAAGCCAGAATAGGAAAGCCAAATGTTGTATGATTCCCCTCACATGAGGTTACCCAGAGTAGGCAAATTTATCAAGACAGAAAGTGAGAAAGAAATTTGCTTAGTATGGTAGCTTGTATTTCTAAGTTCTGTAGAGGTCATACAATAAGGAAGGCAGGCTACTTATTAAATCAAGGACACAATATGGTTCTCTCAGTTAACACAAACTGCATGGCCTCAAATTAGGGGAATCATCATCACTTTATAAAGTAATGTATTTTAAGGCTGACCTACAGGTAGAGATTTTTATGCCACCCAAGCAATCAAGCTTTGATGTGGATGTTCATTCCACATTCTGCCCTGATCCTCAGCTGCCAGAGGTGAGGCTGCACTGGCCTCCACACTACCTGCCTCCCTTCACGGCTTCAGGATCAGAGAGCTGGGAGGCTCCTACATACGCGGACATCTTATGGATTTAACACTTTCTTTTTTTGTTGTTTGTTTGTTTGGCTTTTTCTTTTTTTTTTCTAAAGACAGGGTATTGCTCTGGAGTGCTGTGCTTAGATCATAGCTTTCTGTAGCCTCCAACTCCTGGGCTCAAGTGATCCTTCTGCCTCAGCCTCCCAAGTAGCTAGGAATACAGGCATGCAGTACCACATCCAGCTAGTTTTTAAATTTTTTGTAGAGACAGGGTCCTGCTATGTTGCCCAGGCTGGTCTCAAACTCCTGGCATCAAGCAACCCTCATGCCTCCACCTCCAAAGGTGCTGAGATTACAGGAGTGAGCCATCATGCCTGGTCCAGGTTAAATACTTTCTTCGGAGATGGACTAGAAATGGATCATCAGAAATTATGTTTGTACTCACACATGAAGAATTCCAACAGCCAAAAATTTTTAGAACTCAATCAGAACTTGAGAACTTCTCTCAGTAGGCGCTACATGATCCAATGACGCGGATTCTGCTTTAATCAAGTTATTTTACAGTTATCCAAGTATTTCTTTTATTTTCCTACTAAGTTTTCAGAAGGGAGATTATCTACATATGACCTACACCACCAAGCAGCACACCTATCACTCAGAAGGCTCCTGATCATTCTCTCATTTGAAACAACCTGACCAAGATTCCCCAACAATTTGTGAGACTCAACCGTATTCAAACTAAATATATTGTTTTCAATAGTCATTTATCAAATAGTTGCCGTACTATAGCAGAACAAGATGTTAGCCCAAAATTAAGTCACCACAGATTGACCTATTTATAAAGCTTATCAACAATCACATTTTGACAAAAATCAAAACTAATAGATGCTATCTCTCTTCTGTTTTTCCTTTTGTGAGATAGGGTCTCACTCTGTCACTGCAGCCTCCACCTCCTGCGCCCAAGTGATCCTCCCGCCTAAGCCTCCCAAGTAGCTGGGACTATAGGCATGCTGTGCATGTGTGTGTGTGTCTGTGTGTGTGTGTGTCTGTGTGTAGAGACAGGGTCTCCCAGGCTGTCTTGAACTCCTGGGCTCAAGCAATCCCCCTGCCTTATCCTACCAAACTGCTAGAATTACAGGTATGAGCCACCATGCCTGGCCTGTTATCTCTTTCTTATTCCTAATTTGCTACCTCCAACTGGCTGAGGGCTGGAAATCCATTAACTAAATAGATTAAAATTACAAAACTCTGCACTGTTGCCTACACATACACATCAATGGTATCGCACATCACGGTTACACACATGTCCCAGTGTCTACAGCACAGCACTGGGAGGAAAACCCACGGACTCTGGAACACTCATCCTGGCTGCCTGAGAAAATGCCTTTGTATTTTATTTCTATGTAACTGCTTCCTCTGGTTAATTACAAATTCTTGAAGCTGCTGAATAGGCAACTTCTAGGTAAGTGATGCATTTCTACCCATAATAAAGTACTATACTGTGGAATACAGTTACTCTAATAGGAGTTCAGATCAGTTCATGTAGTCTAAAATGATTAAAAAGTAACTCAAGACATGACCAAAGACTGGAAAGATGGTTATAATTTGGATTAGGGACAGAAGAGAGAAAAATGTAGAAAGTAAAAGAGACAGATAATGTGGGACCAGATGAAACAATACCTTAAGAACTGTTAATATGAAACATAGGGACATAGAGAATATTATACACAAAAAAAGCCACTGTAACAAGATTAATCTGCTGCTTTCAAGCATGACGGAGTAGTGAGACACTGTAGATGGGGCAATGAATTAGATGTGTTAATTAGCACCTTGAACTTGAATTGGTGTAAATGAAATAAACAAGAAAGAAAAATCTTTAAGGCAAGGCTTGAGGCTGTACTGACAGGATTTAGGCCTTCTGAACCTCATCTCCCTTAAGATGACAATCCTGTCTCTTGCTGCTTTAGTCCACTCATAGAATTCTGTGAGGATGGAATGACTGTCTCCATAGCACACACACTCCCTCCAAATAGTAAACGCCATTCTACAGTCGTGAGTCGTACATTACTAACAAAGGGCATAATGAATAGGTAAGGGTCAGAAATGCTGACCAAGTCTCAAGCACAGAAAAAATGGGGTGGTATTAACCAACAGAAAAAACAGAAACAATGAAAAACAAATATGCTTGAGCGAGGTAAAAGGTCTGTTTGCTTTTTATTTAATGTCTTGACATTGGGCCAAAGAACTTTCCACATGAATGATCTAAACACAAGACATTAAATATTTAAATGTAAGAAAATTATGTGAAAGAAACTTACATACAGAAACATTATTGTAGTAATTTTTTATACTTTTTCTATAGTTTTCAGATGTCAACAGGAATTGTTTCTTTGAAAAAAACTGGTATCATACAAACACAAAAGACTCCTTATGCCCTTCATAGGACATCTAAAGCATAACTTACCCTGCTAAGGTCTGGAAATACCATTCACATTTTTCTGCCATTTCTTTCTCAATTATCCAAGCACTAGAGGGAAATGGCATGATCTGTGTGCCTTCTACTACCTCCAGTAACTACAGAATTACCTGAAAAATACAGTTAATGGAGCAACGTCCAATCTGAGCAATCTAATATAATAACTGCATCCTTCTTGTCAAATCATTCTTTTATGTAAACCTAATACTTGGCATTCATATGACAAACTCCACAATTTGCATAGAGAGAAAATACACAACAGTAAGAGGCAATAATAAACATGATAAACTACTACCATATGAGAGAATTCACAGCTAATTCTCGATGTCTGGGTAGAATACAATCATTCATAACATTCAGCCCAAGAAATACAGACTATGGTATTTCTAATAACACCAATTACCCAGGTATTCTTAAAAGTTCTTTTGAAAAGTTTTAGACTTGAGGGAGTGGAAAAGGGTTAATACATGCTAAATCATACCAAAGAAATAATTTTTTAAAGGTGAAGTCAAACTTAGAATTTAAGAACAAAAGAACTGTTTCGTACTTACTAGTCCCAGGGAGACAAATAAACTGGCCCACTTACCAGTGAGAACTGCTTCCTCAGGCTCTTCGTGAGTTGTTTCAGAGGAGTGTGAGCCCTGGGAAATCCAAGAGCTGTTAGTTTCTGATTGAAACTTAGAGTTTAAACTGCGGTTTTTATTTGCCTGTTGAAAGAATATCCTGGCTGTATTAATCTTTTAAATTAAAATTGAACATTTTCAAGGGGCAAATGTAGGGAATAGGCCATGTCTGCTTCACTGAATAACGCAGGCAGTCAATGTAGAAGGAATTCAAGAAATTGCCACCGTCACCGTGAGTGTAATCAACGTTTCCCAGAGGCTTCAGCAGTGGCACTGAAACCAGCTCTGAAGGGTTGTCAGGGAACAGGATGTTCACAGGGCTTTCATGTCTCATCCCACAGATGACTGACTAATAACAAAGGGGAAAGGCTACCTTCACAAAGAGATGCCTAGCTGACTCCACCTTGGCCAAAATTACCAAATACAGCATCACAAATTATGGGACAGACAGACTCAAACGTCTCCTGGTGTGAGGCACTAAGAAGTACACCACGCTGCCCATGTTTAATCTGAATCCACTCATTAGGAAACTGTTTAATCTGTATTCTTGCAAAAATGCTTAATCTCATCTAGTCCAGGCAGGGGAGCAATCAGATGTATCTAGATTGCGAATCACTCTGAAAAACAAAGAGCCTAGATTTTACAAAATGTTTCACACGTCATGAAAGAATGACTCCAAATTAAAAGAGAATACAGAAATATGACAACCAAAGGCGAGGTTAATCTCTGATTAAACTGTGGATCGAAAACAATACAAATAAAGGACATTTGGGAGATAATCACATAAATTTCAATGTGGATGGTATATTAATTTAAATTATTGTATCAAAGTTAGATAATAGAATTGTGATTATGGAGAAAGATGTCCTGATTCACAAGAGATAGATGCTGAAGTATTGGGGTAAAATGTCATGTTCTCTGCAATTTACTTTCAAATGACTCAGGGAAGAAAGTATGAAGACAGAAAAAACGCAAAGGTGGCAAACACTAGCAACTGGTGAATCTGGATGAAGAATATGTAAATCTCCATTGTGTTAGCCTTTGAATTTTCTGTAGGTTGAGGGAGAGGTAGGAAGAAGGAAGAAAAGGCAGGCATTCCTCATTAATTCATACCTGGAAAAAATGGAGTCCAAAGACAACCAGAGGCTTAAATTTCATGTGAACATCCAATGAGGACGATAGTGATTTTCTAATGCCAAATTTCGGAAAAGCCATAAAGACTGGAACATTCCTGACTAGGAGCACTTGCAGGTAATGTCCAGTCTTTTTCCGGAGGCTCCAGTCCTTCTAGATCTTCATATGTTTAATACCATCACTCATGGAATTGCCAGTTATTCAAAATAAGCCTTTAAATGATCATCATCAAACATTTCATCATCAATATCATCATCTATTGATAAAACTTAGGAAAAAATAGGACACACTTTAAAGCGTTGACTATACAATAATTTGTAATAAAAAGGCTGGTAAGACATAAGTGAGTCAATGAACTATATGATTTTGTTTTTACATTTGACATGAGAAAACTCAATTATAACTCATTATGAAAATAATATTTAACCTCTTTGAGAGGACATGAAAGAAAGATCCTGGCATGTTATCAAAAGTTAGGATGTGGCTGGGCACAGTGGCTCACGCCTGTAATCCCAACACTTTGGGAAGCCGAGGTGGATGCATCACCTGAGGTCAGGAGTTCAAGACCAGCCTGGCCAACATGGTGAAACCCTGTCTCTACTAAAAATATAAAAACTAGCTGGGTGTGGTGGCATATGCCTGTAATCCCAGCTACTCAGGAGGCTGAAGCAGGAGAATCCCTTGAACCCAGGAGGCAGAGGTGGCAGTGAGCCAAGATCGTACCATTGCACTCCAGCCTCAATGACAAAGTGAGATTCTGTCTCAAAAAAAAAAAAAGAATGTGATAAATGTGGCATCATAAATAAATGGGAAGAGAGCAGCAGGCTCTTCAGAAAATGAGAGCCTATCATAGGAGAAGTAAAAGGAAGAAAGGGAAGAACCAAGGAAGAGAGAGGGGGAGGGAGGGAGGGGAAGGGAGGGAGAGCAGGGGGGAGGGAGGGAGAGAAAGAGGACCTGCAGGGGTTCTCGATGTTGTAACACCCAGCTCTGCAAGGTCGAGATAAAACAAGAACTCTCAGTCAGTCATGGTCTTCTAAGCTGGCACTGCCTTTTTAGAGGTTAATTTTGCAGTCAACATTAAGTCTCAACAACACTCATCACCTTGACTTAGCAATTTCACCTCCAAGAATCTGGCATACTAAAACAATCAAAGATCAAATACATTCAGGTCAATAATTCTTCATCCACAATTACACAATCCAACAAAGTCTAAAAAATCTCTTGGCAGCAAAACCTGTCCTCAATGGAGGTGATGCTACTTATAGTTTCTATTTATCCCACTCAACTCATCAGATTGACCTTCAAAGTCATGCATAATTTGGCCCCAGCCTACTTTTCTGGGCTTACTTACCAATGCAGTCTCCTACAGGTGCTGTAAACCTGCCACACAAAACCCCTGGCTGTTCCCCAAACACAGCCCACGTTCCTCACAACAGTGCCGTTGCTGAGGCCACTGCTGCTTCCTGACAGCTCCTCCTTCTCCCACATCCAAGGCCTGGCACAGACCCCATCCTCCTTCCAAAAAGCATCAGAGATACCTGCCTCAGTCAGAGTTAATTTTTCACCCCCATGATTCCCAGGCACATTCTGGTACTGCTGGATGTAAGTAACTCAACCTCACATTCAGCTCTGTATCTGCTCTTTGCACCTGGCTGAAGTCTCAGAGAGCAGAGGCTAAATACTTCACGGCTCCCTAAATTTCTAAACACAGTGCTATATACTGAGTGGCACCTCTAGGTGACTACTTTGCACCCTAACGATGATAAACTGAGTGAAATAGTATCAGGTTTAATATACAGAAAAAAATTGTGGAATTCCATCACTTAATACGAGTGGCCATTTGAGTGCTGGCAGGAAGGAAGAAAAGGGGAGAAAAAAACAAAAAGTTGTGGCATTATAGCTACTGCAACAGAAAAGGAGAATAAAGCGGAGTGGCAAGATGAAGACCAGGGAAATGTGGGTGACTGCAGGACCACAAGAATCTTCCAAGCCTGTTGATAACATAAGTTTCTCATTTTCTAATCAGCTAGTGTGGCATACGTCGCTGTTTGGAGTCTTGTCTTCAAAATGTTTTCCAGCATCAAACACAACAATCTATGAGAAACCACATGGTGAGTAAGAGCAGCACACTCACGGCTCTGAAGAGCACAGCACAAGGCTGCAATAAAGACCCACGTATGTTCTCAACCTGCAGTGTGCTCAGTGCCTGCACATCACAACTCAGGTGATGAAGGGATGGCAGTTTTACATGAATTAATCAGTTTCCTTCTTAACCCCATGCCATTTCCCTCACCTGACCCACCCAAGAAAACACCCTTAAAAGGCTTCTCTCACACTGCTTACACATATTAAGCTTCTCGCCAATTGCCTGCACGTGCTCGGAGAAGCTTGCAATACCGTTAGTGTGTTAATACTCACACAGCTGGACCTCAGCAACACAAGGCTTACTAGAAAGCGAAGACAATAGCAAAGCTGGGCCCAGCAGCCGTTCCCTAAGGAACTCTTCGCCCCTTACACTGGAGCAATTGATCTCTCTGCTCCTCAACCAGGAACCGTAGAGCCCTACAGGGCACACAGCCAGTTACTAAGGACTCAGGGCCTGGAATGAAGTGTAGTATTTTCCTCCAAGAGCTTGTATCTGCTATAAACCAGTTTAATTCTGCTATAAACAAGTAGACTTCTAACTAATATTAATATAAACAAGCACTTTTTTTTCAGAGACAGGGTCTCACTCTGTCACCCAGGCTGGAGTGCGGTGGTGCGATCATGGCTCACTGCAGCCTCGACCACCTGAGCTCAAGCAATCCTCCTGCCTCAGCCTCCCAGGCAACTGGGACTATAGGCATGTGCCAGTGTGCCCAGATAATTTTATATATATACATAAACTTTTTTTTTTTTTTAGTAGGGATGTGGTCTTACCATGTTTCCCAGGCTGGTCTCCAACTCCTGGGCTCAAGTGATTCTCCCGCCTCAGCCTCCCAAAGTGCTGGGATTACAAGCGTGAGCCACTGCGCCCAGCCATTAACATTTCTACATGTGAAAAGATGTACAGAATATAAGCTATTAAAAAACATTAAAAATACTATGTCTCTCTTTTTTTTTTTTCTTTTTTTGAGGTGGAGTCTCGCTCTGTTGCCCAGGCTGGAGTGCAGTGGCACTATCTCAGCTCACTGCAAGCTCCGCCTCCCAGGTTCACGCCATTCTCCTGCCTCAGCCTCCCGAGCAGCTGGGACTACAGGCGCCCCCCCACCACGCCCAGCTAATTTTTTGTATTTTTAGCAGAGATGGTGTTTCACAGTGTTAGCCAGGACGGTCTTGATCTCCTGACCTCATGATCTGCCCGCCTCGGGCCTCCCAAAGTGCTAAGTATTACAGGCGTGAGCCACCACGCCCGGCCAAAATATTGTCTTAATATAACTTACTGTTGTAATGCCTAACCTTGTTTTTACTGTAACTCGCTATTTTTAAATTTTCCCTTTTGTCTCCTTAATTACCCAGCCTTGTTTCCCATATGAATAAGACTCTCCCTTAGCTGGGAAAGCCGGACAAACTCCATTTGGCCTCTTGATTAACAAGACATCAAGGGCTCCTTACCCAAACCCCTTCCTCAAGGCGTTAACCTGTGTAAGCAGATCCTCAGCATTTCAAAGGAGCCCAATTAACTGATAAGGTACTGGAACAAACAATGTATGAAGTTCCCAGGGTTTTGCTCAAAGAGATAACAGCATAAAGCCTTGAGTCCGTGTCTGGCAGAGCATCCATATCGAACTCTAATGAAGGATTTAGAGCCCCGCACCTGGTTCCGTTGCTTTTTTTGTAACCATTTGTCTTTTAAATTGTTTCTCCCTCTATAACCATTTGTTTTTTTGATTCTTGCATGTTTTTACTTCTGTAGAATTATTGCATTTGAGTTCCCCTCCCCTTCCTAAACCAAGGTATAAAAGTTAATGAAGCCCCATCCTCAGGGCCGAGAGAATTTTGAGCGTTAGCCATCTCTTTGGCCGCTGGCTTAAATAAACGACTCTTTTTTTTTTTTTTTTTTTTTTTTTTGAGACAGAGTCTTGCTCTGTCGCCCAGGCTGGAGTGCAGTGGCACGATCTCAGCTCACTGTAAGCTCCGCCTCCCAGGTTCATGCCATTCTCCTGCCTCAGCCTCCTGAGCAGCTGGGACTACAGGCGCCCGCCACCACGCCCAGCTAATTTTTTATATTTTTAGTAGAGACGGGGTTTCACCGTGTTAGCCAGGATGGTCTCGATCTCCTGACCTTGTGATCCGCCCGCCTCGGCCTCCCAAAGTGCTGGGATTACAGGCTTGAGCCACGCGCCCGGCCAATAATGGACTCTTAATTCGTCTCAAAGTGTGGCGTTTTCTCTGACTCGCTTGGGTATAACACTGTACTATGGGTTTGTTAAAAACTAAGGTAAAAGTCATTAAGAAAACAATACAAAGCATAAAAGAACACCTATCAAAATTACAAAAACTCCAAAATGAGCGGACAAAGATCCAAAAAAAACTAATAAAACATTTGAAAATTTACTTCAGCAATAAAATATAAGCTGACACAATCACATCGTGTCTTAAAAATAAACAGGTCAAAGAAAAGAGTATTTTTACATCAGTCCAGGAAAGTCAAAAGCATATACAGAGGAAGAGGTTTCTCCAAAACTCGTACACTCCAGAGGGCTGAGGGGCCCGGGAAATCCACTGGCTGGCGGCCCTTCCGGATGAATCTGCAAAACAGACAGAGGTTCGAGAGTCACTGGGGGGGCACAGAGGTGGAGGGAGGGGCGCTCCCTGGGGTGGGTGTGCAGGTCTCAGAGGGCTCCTCAGGCCCTAGAAGGTGGCCTTGGGCCCCTGGCCTCCCCAGAGTCCACCCACAGGGCACCAAGGCCTGTGTGCTGCTCTCTGCTGAGGGGGTTGTCTGTGCACAGAGTGTCTATAAATGTCCTGCAGGAGGCACTGAGCCCAGGCACGCACATGGGCGCCTTCAGGGGACTGGACCTCCAGATACTGAAACACAAAGAGCAAGGATCAACAGGCAGAGCCCCATGCCCCCGGGCCCTGGGAGGAGCAGGAGGTCTGATGACACAGGGTGGGGTGGTGACCTGCCCCTCCACCCAGACCCTCCACGCCATCCAGACAGAAGAGCTGCACGTTAAATGTGTGCCGCTTCCTGGAGCACATCATTGTTATCGCCCAATAAGACTTGTTCCTTCCAACATCCCCACCAACCCTGTCTATGCATTTTCATTCAAAAAATCATTAATGCTTTGCTAAAACATGCATTTCTCACTTAATACATTCCAGCATAAAAAGATTATGGAAACCACTGTTTTAAAGAGTAAAAAACTGTGTGTGTGTGTGACTGTGTGTGTACATATATACACACACATATCTATAAAATACACAAAAACACACACTCATATATGTTAATTTCAAATTGGAAAATACATTTAAAACAGTGACTTCCTGAATCCTGCCCCTCAACAACTCCTAAGTGAGCATGGCCCTGACTTGTCTTCACGAGTATTTTTGTTGGCATCTGACACAGACACAGAACCACTGATGCCCAAATCAGTGCTCTCTACACACAGAAGCCTCCAAACTCATCTTGAGAAATGGGGCCATGAGGCCACCCGAGGCACCGAGGGCTCCATGGAGGCTGGGGGGTCCCTGGGACTGGGCACATCCCAGCGGGTCTTGGATCCTGGCCTTTCCCCTTCTTGATGCCAGGACCTACTGAGTGCCCGCAGGTGTGCAATGCTGGGCTGGGTGGGCTGCTTGTGTGGCAAGAAGCCTGGGGCTGCCTCCCTCCCTCTCACACCTTTCCCAGCAGGCATGCAACAGGGGGATTCATGATCAACCCAGTGGCTGCTCATGTTGAATTGGTGAAGCTCCCTCCCTGTTGTCTTCTGGGGACATGGAGGGCAGGGCTGGGTCCCCTCAAATGAGCTTAAGTGGCACTGCAGACAGGAACGCGCTGCATGGCCCTCAGAATCCTGCATCTGGTAGCCTGACCAGCACCTCAGCCCCTCCCTCATTAAAGCAGCCTATGGAAGGCTCAGCCCGGTGGGCTCAGGGGCTGCTATGGAGAGGCTGTCTGCTCCCTGGAGGATGTTCTCAGGGCATCCTTCACTTGCCTTTAGGGATTTCCAGCATAAGTACAAAGGCCACAACAAGTGAGCTCAGGCTCTTCAGCAGCCTCATCCTTCAGCTCACTAGGTTTTCTGATGGGACAACAAGAGAATGAGGGCAGCCATGGGCACACAGGCATTGTCTGCCTTCCCCTGGTCATGCCGCCCCTGCACACTCACGTTTCTGCCTCTTCGGGGATTTTCCCCACTTTTTCTGCAGGTGCCGGGAGAGGGCTTGTTGGTATCTGGGAGGAAGACAACAAGTGCGCATGTCCAGAGACCCCAGTGCAGCAAAAGCCCCGGGGCGGAGGGGGGCGGCCACAGCAGACCCAGACGTCACTGGGAACCCTTCCTGCAGGGTGGCGCCAACTCTTCTGACCTCAGCCGGGCTCCCTTCCTAAACCCTGTGGGGTTGCTCAACAGGATTCAACGCTGCAGCCTGGGGACCAGGAATGGAGGCAATGCCAAGACAGCGGGCAGGAGGGCTGCAGGGGGACTTTATAGACACTGAAGACCCAGGACATTGACTGTCACGATGAGACCACCCAAAAGCACCCAAAATAAGAACAGGACATACCGAATCATGCTAAAAACCTAAGTTTTTATTGGAGGATGTTTCCTGTAAGTCCATGTTGCTTGGCAATTAAGTGATTTTGCCCCAAGGAGAGAATCAAGCTGCTGAGTGGCTGATGATGTCATTTTCTTCTGCCATCTTAAATCAAACCTCAGTGGGGAACAGACTCTCACTCTAAATTCTCCTTACCAAGGACACTGTGTAAGTCACCTATGATACATATGGTCAGATTCTCATATTTTAATTCAAATAGGGGTTATCTTTTTTCTTTGACAAAAGCAGGTGGCCTGACCTACGATGGTCCTGGGGCATTCTCATCTGATTCATATATGAATTCTTCCACGGGATCCTCTGTGCAACCTAGGAGGACAGAGTGACTGTCAGGAGGTGCAGAGAAAGCATGTTCCTCTGTGCAAAGCACGACCCAAAGATCAATGTTCTAGAGAAATGCACACACTCCCAAATACATTCACCATCACTCCACACGGACTCTCTCCTCCACATCTCCCCACCCCGATGCACCCTATTCCTATTTAAATGACATCACTGCTTCTGGGAACTGCAGTGGATGGCCACAGTTGTTGACTAAACTCTTCATTTTTTCACACCCAACTGCCCAACCTCATTTCTAGCAGGAAGCTCAAACCAGGGTGGCTCTCCAGCAGAAGTAGGGGGGAAAGTGTCACCTTTCTCAACACTAAGATATTTCCTTAGCAAATGGGTGACCCCAGAGTACGTACCACTTGCCCAAAGTGCTGAATCCCTCTGCAGAGAGAAAGGAAAACACTGTGAGCGTCAGACCATGCTGTGTCCTGTGTATACAGGTCTTTTCTTCAGTTGCTGACATTAGGAAACCAGACAAGAAACAGTGCTCGAGGTAATGGCCCCAAAATAAAGCCTAGAAGACACCTGTGGAAAGGCACAAGAGTTTCGTCTAAGACTTTCGATATGATTTTTGTTGCAAAGTCACCATTATTTTCTAACAGTAAGCATTTCTCCTGAGGAAAATGTTATCTGCATACAGTTTGTAACTGAAGGTGGCATCTATGCGTGCCATCTGGAGCCAGCTCCTAGTTGCTCATGAACTCTCACATTATCCCACCAAGAAATTCTGTAACTTATCTATAATGTCCATGGTAAGGTTTGCATATCTTAATTCAAATGAAATAGAAACCAAGAGAAATACAATTCCCATCTTAGTCAAAGAAAGATCTCACTTCGACAATGGCAATGACTTGCTCTGAGGACTCCCCAGGAAGCTCTGCTGCCACAGGCTTGACACCTAGGAAACATAAGAGTCACTGTCAGCTCATGGGAGCTGCTGAAGAATCCCTCAGGCAGCTTTGGGTGCTGTGGACAGGGGGCTGGCGTGTGTGGAAAAGGTGGGATAACAGCACAGGCTGAGCAGCTGCTGGCCGTCCTCCTTAGTGGAGAAGGAAAGCAAAGGAGACCATCAGGAAAGCCCTGGGAGACAGAGCCTTGGCTCTCTAGCTAAGCCACCCTCATCGGTGTGAAAGCTGATCTCAAACAGGGTACACCATACAATGTGGCTGTTTCAACAACAGCATCTCAGGGAGCCTTCTATTCAAACCTGAGCTAAGTTGTACTTTTTGTTTGAGATGGTTTTGCACTGTCACCCAGGCTGGAGTGCTGTGGTTCAATCACAACTCACTGCAGCCTCGACCTCCCAAGCCCGGGTGGATCCTTCGCCTCAGCCTCCAAGTCGCTAAAACTACAGATGCCCCCATCAAGCCCAGCTGATTTTTTGTATTTTTTTGTAGAAATGGGGTTTTGCCAGGTTGCCCAGGCTGGTCTCGAACTCCTGGGCTCAAGCAATACATCCACCATGGCCTCCAAAAGTACTCAGATTACAGATGTGAGCCACCGCTCCCGGCCTCTGCTGCCTTCCTGATCCCTTCTGAGGGCATTTACTCCCAGGACCCACCTGCGCTGCTGTGTGGATCACCCCTCCTAGAAGATTTCTTACATCATAAAATCAGCCCTTCTTTTAAAAAATATGCAATTCAGCCAAAATATTCTACAACATTTATCCGTCAAACATCTGTTTTAAGCAAAATTAAAGATTTGAAAATACAATTATCCTACCATTTAAACATGACATGTCACATGTGCTATCTGTCCTTCCGGTCTCCCTCTTCAACACACGCGTCCAGGGAGTCTGCTACTGCTCAGGCTCTCACTGGCTCTGACACTGGGAGAGCCCATCCTGGAAGCAGCAGGTGGGGGCGCTGACCCTCTCCATCCCAGCTGTGCAGGAATTCCAGCAGGAGAGATGGGCACCAGGCTAATGCCCAAGTTGTTCCTTGAGCTCCTGTTTGCTGCTGTGCCTTAGGTGCGTGTGCTAGTGAACTGCAGCATTTCTAAGGCTTGTGGTTACTATGTTCTTAAATACAACAGGACATGTCCTTGATTATTCTCTGCTCTCCACCAGGAGCTGAGGAATGAACCCATCATGCCGCCAAAACCCCCTGAGCTCTGCAAGTGTGCCTCACATTAATGACCACGCCAGATTCCACTGTAAAATGTAGCTATTCCTACGCGGTGTTAGGTGACCACTAAGACCGTCCTGTAATGACAGTGCTTAAAATCTCTACAGGCTGTCATACTTCCACATGCACACATAGGTGCTGAACTCCCTGGCATGCTGATGAGTTATGCTAGGGCTGTCTCATAAACGCGCAGTAGTAGCCCATCGCATCCATGTTTCACCCATTCTTGAGTTCACATTTGTCTCTTCCATTTAGGAGACCAAGAGCTCGGGAAATTCATCTCCACACCATCTCTATCTGAGGAGTGAAGACAGGAAACTTACCTTCAGATACAGCTGCCATGGAGGATGAAAGGGCTGATTGACGTGACGTGTACAATGGTGATGAATTTTGTGTTTAGAACAGTAATCCTTGTGTTGTGCTTTGTACATAGGAACATGCTTTCTGGGGAAATGCACACACGCGCCCAAAGACATTTGTGATCCCTTTACACAGACTCCCTCCTCCATACCTCCCACCCTGATGCACACCACCTTCTTCCATCTAAATGACACCACTGCCTCAGGGACCAGACTGGGATGCTCACAGTTCTTTACTAGACTTCCCCTCCCTTCCTGAGTCCTTCCAACATCATTTCCTCCCTAGAATCCACCTGTGGTGCTTCTGTGTGTATCACTCATTCTAGAATATTTTATACTTGGTAAAAACAGTATTTGTTCAGAGAGATTTCATTCCAGCCCCAATATTCTACATATTCACCAAACTTCTGTGTTAAAGACAATAAAACAAAGCTTTGAAAATACTCAATTATCCTCTATTTAAAGATAACCCCTACTTAGCAAGTGCTATCTGTCCTTGCACTCAACCTTCTCAATGCAATGTCTGTGTGTCGGGAGTCCCTTGCTGCTCACACTCACACTGGCTCTGACACTAGTAGAGAATGTCATGGGGGCAGCAGGTGGCAGCACTGACCATCTCCAACCCAGCTGTGCAGGAGGTTCCACCAGGGGAGATGGGTGGGAGGCCAACACCCAAGTTGTTCCTTGGGATGATATTTGGCGCTGTGTATTGATTGTGTTTGCTACGTAACTAAAGCATTTCTTTCCTTCTTTCAATAGCAGGTCTCTGTTACCAAAGCTGGAGTGTAGGGGCATGATCTCTGCTCCCTGGAACCTGTGCCTCCTGGGATCTAGTGATCCTCCCCAATCGGCCTCCCAGGTAGCTGGGACCATGGATGGACCACCACACTGAGGTAGTTTTTTGTATTTTTAGTAGATACGAGTTTTCACCTTTCTGCCTTGCCTCATCTCCAACTCCTGAACTTGCCTCAGCCTCCCAAACTACTAGGATTACAGGCGTGAGCCACTGTTCCTGGCCAACTGGAGCATTTCTAAGGCTTGTGATAATCATGTTATTAAATACAATAGAGCATGTTCCTGAGTATTCCCTGCTTTTGACCATGAGCTGAGAAATAACCCCACCACTACGGCCAAAAGCCCGTGAGCTCGCTATGTGTGTTTCACATTAATGGCCACATCAAAGTCCAGTGTAAAATGTACCTACTGCTACCCTGGGTTAGGCAACCTTTGAGACCTCCCTACAATGACAGACAGTGTTTGGGACCTCTTTAGGCTATCATCCTTCCACATGCAAAAACGAATGCCGGAAGTCCCTGGACTAATGGTGAGTTACGCCAGGGCTGGCTGCTGAATGCACAGTAGTCACCCTTTCCATCAACTCTCCACACATTCCTGAGTTCACATTTGCCTCTTGCATTTAGGAGATTGAGAGCCTGGGAAATCTGTACCATCTCTATCTGAGGAGTGAGGATATAAAATTTACCTTCAGGTACAGCTGTAGTGGAGGATGAATGGGTTAATTTATGTGAAGTGTGCAGTGGTGTTGCAATTTTTTTTTTAGGAAAATTGCTCCTTCGGTTGTGCTCTGCACAGGGGAACATGCTTTCTGGGGAAATGCCCACACAACTCCCAAAGACACTCCCAATCACTCCACACGACTCTGTCCTCTGTACCTCCCCACCCTGATGCACAGCACACTATTCCACCTAAATGACAATCCTGCCTCCCCGGACTCGAGTGGATGGTCACAGTTCTTTACTGGACTCAGTGTTTTTTATACCAAACTGTCCAAATCTCATTTCTGTCAGGAAGCTCAAACCAAAGTGTCTCTCCAGCAAAAGCAGACTAGTAAGTGCCACATTTTGCAACACTGAAGGTCTTTCCTTAGAAAGGAGTGCTCCCAGAATACACACCTTTCTCCTCAGCCTGTACCTCTGCCTGCATTGAGAGAAAGAAAAACACCATGAGCTTCAGACCATCCGAGTACCAAGTGCACAGGACTTTTCTTCACTTGGTGACATTAGAAAACCAGATGGAAAACAGTGTTCAAATCAAAGGAACACAGAAGAAGAACAGGGCAAACTGACTCATGCTAAAATTTTTCTTGGAGGATGTTTCCTCTCAAGGTCATGTTGCTAGGCAATTAAGTGATTTTGCCCCAAGGAGAGAATCAAGCTGCTGAGGAAAAAGCTCACTGCCACTCAGTGCATGGCTGATACTGTCGTTTTCTCCTGCCGTCTTAAATCAAGCCTCAATGGGGAACAGACTCACTCAGAATTCCCCCCACCAAGGACACTGTATAAGTCACCTATGATATATAGGGTCAGATTCTCATATCTTATTTTAATTCAAGAAGATAAAGCGAAGAAAGTAACTTTTTCCCAGACAAAACCAGGTGGCCTGACCTTCAGTTGTTGTGTGTCACTATCATCTCTGGTGTTCCTGCGGAGTCTCCTCAAGAGGGGATCTCTTGCCACTAGGAGGACACATAGTGACTGTCAGCAAGTGCAGGGCAGGAGCAGGGAAGAAAGGCTTTCTAGCCCTGACTGCCTCATCAATGTGAAATGGCCCATCTTAAACAGGGCATACCACCCAGGGCAGGCTGTGTGTCCCTGCAGCCTCTCAGGGCTCCTGCTTCTTAATCTGACCCGAGCTCACTTGCCCTCCCTTCCTGAGTCCTGCCAAGGTCATTTCCTCCCCAGAATCCACCAGTGGTGCTGCTGTGACTATCACCCCTCCTAGAGGTTTTCTACTCGATAAGAAGCAGGCTTTCTTTAAAGAGAAGATTTAATTCCAACCAAAACCTTCTATTTTTTCACTATCCATTTGTTTTTAGGACAATGAAATAAAGCTTTGAAAATACTCAGTTTTCCTCCCATTTAAAGATAACCCCTATTTAGCACGTGCTATCTGTCCTTCCACTCTCTCTTTTCCATACGTGTGTGTGTGTCCGTGGAGTCTGTTACTGCTCACACTTACCCTGGCTTTGGCACTGGGACAGCCTGTCATGGGAGCAGCATGTGGGGGCGCTGACCCTCTCTAACCCGGCTGTTTGAGATTCCAGCAGGGAAGAGGGGCACCAGGCTAACACCCAAGTTGTTTTTGACATCATATTGGGTGCTACTTCTTGGGTGTTTGTATTACTAAGCTGGAGCATTTCTAAGGCTTGTGGTCATCATGATTTTTGTTTTGTTTTTTTGTGGCAGGGTCTCACTCTGTTTCCCAGATGGAATGCAGTGGCACAATCATGGCTCACTGAAGACTCCACCTCTCCGGCCAAAGCAATCCTCCCACCTCAGCTTCCTGAGAAACTGGGACTACAGGAGCATGTCCCCACGCCTGGCTAATTTTTGTATTTTTTGTAGAGATGTGGTTTTACTATGTTGCCCAGGCTGATCTTAAACTCCTGGACTCAAGTGATCCTCCTGCCTCAACCTCCCAAAGTGCTGGGATTACAGGCATGAGCCTCCCCATTGGGTCCAATCATATCTTTAAATACAATAGGACATATCCCTGATTGTTCTCTGCTTTTGAACAAGAGCTGAGAAATGACACCACCACTGCAGTCAAAAGCCTGTGACTCCCCTATGTGGGTTTCACATTAAGAACCACCCCAAAGTCCACTGTATTGCTACCCTGCCTTTCGCCATCACTGAGAACATCTTACAATGCTGGGCAGTGTGTGGGATCTCTCTAGGCTGTCATACTTC
The DNA here is from genome assembly GCF_000001405.40 of Homo sapiens. Lineage (NCBI taxonomy): Eukaryota > Metazoa > Chordata > Mammalia > Primates > Hominidae > Homo > Homo sapiens. The sequence goes on from NC_000005.10 coordinate 176,182,121, forward strand.
CACATGCACACACAGATGCTGGAACTCCCTGGTGTAGTGACGAGTTATACCAGGGCCACGTGAGGACTGTGGAGTAGCAGCCCATCACGTCAACCTTTCACTCATTCCTGAGTTCACATTCGCCTTTCCCATTGAGGAAATTGAGAGCTTGGGAAATTCATCTCTCCACCATCTCCAATCTGAGGACCGGGGATGTTAAACTAACCTTCAGGTACAGCTGTGGTAAAGGATGAAGTGTCGACTGATGCGGGGATGGAATTTTGTTTCTAGAACATTGATCCTTGGGTCATGCTTTGCACAGAGGAACATGCTTTCTAGAGAAATGCACACACACTCCCAAAGGCATTCACCATCACTTCACACGGACTCTCTCCTCCATATCTCCCCACCCTGATGCACCCCTATTCCTATTTAAATGATATCACTGCTTCTGGGAACTGCAGTGATTGGCCACAGTTGTTGACTAAACTCTTCATTTTTTTACATCAAACTGCCCAACCTCATTTCCAGCAGGAAGCTCAAACCAGGGTAGTTCTCCAGCAAAAGTAGGGAGGAAAGTGTCACCTTTCTCAAAGCTAAGATCCTTCCTTAGCAAATGGGAGATCCCAGAGTGCATACTGTAGAGCTGAATCGCTGAGTGTGTCTGCAGAGAGAAAGGAAAACACTGTGAGCGTCAGACCATGCTGTGTCCTGTGTTCATGGGTCTTTTCTTCACTTGGTGACATTAGAAATCTGGTTGGGAGATGGTGCTCGAGGCAACGGCCCCCAAATAAAGCCTGGAAGACACTTGAGGAAATGCACAAGAGTGTTGTATGAGATTTTCAAAAACGATTTTTGGTTGCAAAGTCACCCCTATTTTCAAGAATGCATTTCTCCTGAGGACAATGCTCTCTGCCATGCAGTCTGTCACTAACACTGTCATCTATGAGTGCCATCTGGAACAAGTTCCAAGTTGGCAATGAATGGGCTCTCACATACCTCTGCCCACCAAGAAATTCTGTGGCTCATCTGTAAAGTCCGTGGTAAGAATTACATATCTTAATTCAGAGAAAATAGAAAGAAACCAAAAGAAATAAAATTCCCATCTCAGACAAAGAAAGAAGACTTTACCGAGTGTGCTGCCTGGATCAGGTCCCAAGAATCCAGCGAGAGAAACCGCCAATTCTGGCGGTAGAAGAAGCCTAGGAAACATAGAGTCACTGTCAGCCGTGGCAGCTGCTGAAGGACCTCTGGCAGCCTTGGGTGCTGAGGACACAGGGCTGGTGTGTGTGGAGGAGGTGGGTGAGAGCACGGGCGGAGCTGCTGCTGGGCCACCCTCCCTGGTGGTGAAGGCAGGCAAAGGACGCCATCAGGAGAGCCCTGGGAGACACAGCCTCGGGTCCCTGGCTAAGCCGCCCGCATCACTGTGAAGTAGGCAGTGTTCATACAGGCAGCCCTCATGACCAGTGAACACCCCAAGGGACCGACGGTCTACTTGGTCCCCAAGATGGCTCAGAACTCAGAACATTCTAAGCCAACCGCCACCTGATGGCTGTGCCAAGAATCAACTTCCCTTCAACTGACCAACCCTGCGTGAGCAGTTCACTGAAAATGTGGCCATCAGGGCTGGCGCTTAAGTGACTGAATGAATTAAATCTGTGACCCCCACTGTCTCACTGACTACTTATCTGAGCAACTATCTGAGCAGGCTGAACTAAGGCCTGCCTGAGAATGGGCAGTGTTTAAATGAAGCCTATTGAATAACTTGGAAGTCACACCTCATGAGAAGGGTACTCGAATTTAATGAGACACAGCGTGTGTTCAGTCATGCGTGAATACTGTATTACAGAGAAGTGTAAACAGAACTGCTAGTAACTTGAGCGGGGGGATACCTGGCTCTAACTAACAGCATGGGAGGCTTCCTGATCACCTGAAACAATCAAGACATAGCAAAAGGCCAAGAGTACAAAATCATTTTACATCTGAGGCAAACATTAGTATTTCAGACCTTTAAAATAAGCATTTTAGTATTACAGCAGCAGAATTAGAACCTGGGTGGGGGCGGATGAAAATTTAAAGGAGAGAGTTATCATCCAAGCCAAGTATAAAGATGCGCCTTTTCCAGGGGAAAAGAAACAGAAGGCAATGATGTGGGACCTGTAACTTAGGTGTAAAGAGACACAGAAAAATTCAAACCTCTGAGGTATAAATCTGAGAAGTTTAACAAAAAAAAAAACAGATTTCAGAAGAAAAAATTATTACCTCTTATAATTTCATTGAGAACAAATTATCTATCTTAACAAAAGCTTATTTCTAAACCAAAATTTTAGTTTGGTATTACTGTATTTTTAATATTGTAGCTAATTTTAAGAAGACCTTATCAATAAATCTATCTACCCCCGTCAGTTTTGACTACAAAGTAAGATTTTCATAAACCTTTTATAACCTCTAATAATTTTTCTATTTTGTAACTTTGTATATCCACTTGATTGTGTTTATGTTTTCAAAAGGTCTTTAATTTAAAACAATCCTCAAAACCTCTTCACTAGGCCACTGCGTTTCCCACCAGAAGATCGCAGTTTATTTTCTAAACATCTCTGGATTCCAGCTGTTTCAACATTTGATTTAAGATTTTCACATCTCAATTTAGAGGACTTTGGCCTGTCATCTGCCTTTCATGGAACGTCTCACACTGTCATCGGTATCAAGATCTCCCGATATGACCAAGGAAATGCTGTTGCGTTTCTTCTGGGTCTATTCTATGCAAGTGTGTATAAAATTGGCCTTGGAAACAGTACATTTTTCTAAACAGAGGAAAATATTTAAGGCAGAAAGCTTGATAGCAGAATCAAAAATACAAACTGAGTCATAAAACTCTAAAACCAATTTGTAAATCTCTAGACAAACTGGAGGTGGGGGAAAAATACATAAATCAGGAAAACATTTAAGTACAAGTGGCCCATCTGAAGAAACTGCAGTGAGAAGATGGAAATGAACCTACCTTCACCTTCACCACAGCAGCAGAGGCTGCCTCCCATTTTGGTGAGCAGTCTAGCTGGCAGTTCCAACACAGCGGCAGTTGAAACACAGCCAGCGACAGTTGAAACACAGTGGCAGTTGGGGTGGAAGACAGGATACGCATCATCACAGGACCTCAGCGACAGGTCATCAGAGAATGTTCAAATGAACACAGGAACACGTGCCACACTCTGGGGTCCAACTGCCGCTCTCTAGACCAGTGCACTTTCACAAGGACAAGGGGCCACTCAGAGTTCATTTCAAAATCAAAATCTGAATCCCACACCCACAGTACTATTCTCTGTGTATGAAATAAACGTTAAATGAGGAAAGAAGACCTGCCTTCCAAATATATTTGATAGTGAAAACTTCAGGGTGAAGAGGGTCAAAACTAACACATTCAGAATAAAATGAGGTTCCTTCCTTGACTTGAAATACTATCCCCATCCCTCTTACTATTCCTGAGTCATCAGCAATTTCCATATTCAACAATTTTAAATTTATTCCAGATGAAAGTTTAAAATGCCTTAGTATAAATTCAATTTTTTTTTTTTTTTTTTTTTTGAGACCAGAGTCTCGCTCTGTCACCCAGGCTGGAGTCCAGTGGTGCGATCTTGGCTCACTGCAACCTCCGCCCCCCGGATTCAAGTGATTCTGCTGCCTCAGCCTCCCGAGTAGCTGGAACTACAGGCATGCACCAACACGCCCAGCTAATTTTTGTACGTTTAGTAGAGATGGGGTTTCACCGTGTTGGCCAAGCTGGTCTTGAACTCTTGACCTCAGGTGATCCACCCACCTTGGCTTCCCAAAATGCTGGGATTACAGGAGGGAGCCACTGGGCCCAGCCTAAATTCAATTTTTAAAAGTCGATCTCTAAGAATATAACTCATAGTAATTGTATAAAATATCTTATCACCTATCTATATTATCTACTGTTTTTCTCTGTATGTAACTAAGTTGCAGACTTACTAATTTCCGAATCTCTCTGAGTTCTTGAGAGATTTCTCTGTGAAAGTATACATGAAAGATTGTCTATTCACTCACCTGGAGATGAAGAAAAAAGAAGCATTGTATGTTCAACATACAATGATGATTTTCTAAAATATAAAGGATGATTTTCTAAGTGGGGAGTTCTGATAACCTCAAACTCCAGGATTCAATGTGTTCGACTCATCAATCAACACCCAGTCATAGCCATTCTTATCTCGTCATGAGAATTAGCACTTGGAAGGCAACTGACAAGGTCCCCAAAAGACACAACAACTGAAAATTAGAGAATAAAAACGAGAGAGTTACCATGTTTAAGACAAAGTGGATACCCATTAAGATATGAAATGGCTCAGTGAAAATTTCCATCACCACAGATTCATCACAAGCTTTAAGAACTATCAAATCAAATGGGCACTGATGAGGTATAAAAACTGCATTAATACAGACCTTGCCAATTTTTCAGGGATTACCTAATTGAGAAGGTGACAGACAGGATTTGGGAAGGAGTAAGTAATATTACCTGTCTAAATGGAGAATTGTAATTGTTAACTGAACAGAAAAATGTGTGTTTGTTTACACATAATATACATATACTTGCATATATACATACATACATATACATGTATATGCATATATATATATATATATATGCATGAGACAGAGAAAGAGACAGTGGTGAGACTTAAGGAAAAACTGGAAAACAGATTCACATCTCCAATGCAAATTGGGGAAGAAATTGTTTTAAAAAATACAGAATACAGTAAAAAAATAAAACCATCTCACTGGAGGAACAGCATTGTAAAGCTACTTTTAAAAACGCAGCTCATTTATAGGGAATAGTTAAAAAGAGCAAACGGCTTTCCTTCCTGCTGCCACCTGAGTGTTTACAGGGAATGAAAACTAAATGGCTCTTTCACATTGGTAGGCAAAGCCCTCAGAAAGCTTTGTCACGGTGTCAGCGCTATATGATTGTTCAATTAATAAATCTGGAAAAATGTACAAAAACTAAACAGCCATTTCTTCCAGAGGCAGGAGCTGGCAGGCTGCAGAAGAGGGAAAGGAGGAAACGCAGACTTCAGTGTGTCTTCTTCTGTACCTTGTGAATGTGCTGCAAGTGTGTTATTCCTGGTGCGTTTATTGTGACTTTATTAAAAACATATAGATACCCCAAAATGCTGGTGTAAAACAACCATTTTCTTTTGTTGACGCTTCACAGGGATAGGAATTCACGCAAAACACAGAAAAGATATCTTCTCGCTACGTGTTGATGTCTGGGGCCTGCAGAGAAGGCTCACCGGCTGGGGCTGAATCCACAGCAAGGGGTTGGGATCATCCAGAGGGGGACATCACTCCCGGGCCTGCCGGGGTCATCGGGCTCGGCTGGAGGACCTACAGGAAACTCTCTGGTGTCCGGGGCTTCCAAGCAGTGGGGCAGTCTCAGGATATTCAGAGCCTTGACTGAGCGGCCAAGGGCGCCACAGGTGAGTGACTGGAGTAAACCAGAAAGAGACTCGTGGCCTTTTCAAACATAGCTTGGGAAGTTTCTCAGCATCCCCTCCACATCACCTGGCAGTGACAAGTGAGCACTAGTGCCTGGCCTCATGAGAAGAGGCATAGACGCCCACCTCTCAAAGAGGAGAATAGCAGAGAAATTGCAAACATGTTTAAAAAGCCACATGCAAATTCCCGTTTGAAAACCTCCAGCACAGAGATACCTCTCAAACATGAGATAAAAGACCTGCCGCTGTATGACCCAGGTCAAGGGTAAGACACCTGTGTGTTTTCCTGCTGCTTCAGCCACTGTGGGTTGACTGTCAAGTAAACACACACATTCAGGGAAATTAACCAGAGGGTTATGGAGTAACAGGGTAATGAAAGCTAACGTAGACCTGAAATGCTGCTCTACAAAGGAAGCATTTCATTCACTCTGTTAACTTAAAAAAAATCACAACATTTATACATTCAGAAAACAAGAGGAGACTCTTTTTCTTCACTTCATTTTAGGTTCAGGGGCTTCATGTGCAGGTTGTTACATGGGTACATCGTGTCGCTGAGGCCTGGTATAAGACCTAATTAAACCAAGGAGCTTCTGCCACAACCAGAGACTTGATTTCTTATGAAAGTTTATAGCCCGCAAGGTGGCCATCCTGCAGGCTGGGAAGCGTGCCTCCTGCCAAGGCCAGAGCCTGGCACATGGAAGGAGGGGGAGTTGGGACAGGAGCTTTACGCTGCACAGGCTGGCTGAATAGAAACCTTCGACAGGTTACAGGAGGAGCTGTGAATATTCACGAGGATGGTCCTGATGCATGCATACCAAACAAACATACATGTAACATAGGACCCATGTTCACCATGGGGTGGAGACATAACATTTAAATGTATTACAATTAGGCCCTATCCTCAAAAGGTCTTTTCAGGACACAAAGGCACACAAGTGCACAGCCTCTGTAAACCGGCCAGAGCCAGCCCATGGCGAGTGATCTCTTCCCGCGAGAGAGTTACTGAAATCGGTCTCCCGTCCAGTTGGAGCTCTAGTTATGGCTGGTGGAACAGGGCTTGGGGGCCAGTTACTCAGTGTCTGGTGGTGTGCTATAACTGTTAATAGTGCTTATTTAGCTGCTAGAGGAAAAGAAACCCTGTGGCAGTCGGAACAGTTTATTCCTTGTTTAGGGGTGTGTGACTCAACCCCTGCCTGGCATGGCTGCAGGTGCTGTTTACACGTTGGTACCTTACTGCCACAGAATCTGTTCTGTCCATCTTGTGACCTCTATTGGAACATGTATGCTGGACACTGGCTGTGTCTAAACATAAAAGGAAGGGGCAGAACGAGGCATCAGGTCGCCCATCTGCCATGGCCTGATGCCCTGCACTGAGCAAGGGTGGAGAGGTCTGGAGCAGGCTAGAGTGACAGGATGGTCCACAGGAGCCTCACTCTGGGAACAGCTGCCTCAGCTCATGGCTCCACGGTCCAGCTGCACTCATCTACAAGCCAGTGCTTCCATCTGGAAAACCTGACAGCCTGTCCTATTCCTAGTGCCCTGAGTTTAAGCATCTCTCTGCCAAACCATCAAGAAAACCCTGGGCTCTGCAGATGCATGAACAGCCTAGTGCATACACCAGGCACTCAATAAATGCCAACGACAGCTACCTCCCTGGTGTCCAATGAGGACAACAGTCACCGTCATGGCAGTGCAGTCTCAGTTCTAGACTTAAATTCCTTCTTCCCAACATGTGGAGCAGGTGACCCAGTGTGGGGTGCAGGGCCTCTGCAGACACCTCTCCTCCTGGGCCCCCAGACAGGAGGGGGTGGCCTGGAGGAGCAGCAGGAGGAGGAGCAGAGATGGGAGTCAGCCCTGGCCTCGGAGGCGCCACCATCTCTGCCCACACAGGCACAGCCCTCTCTTCCTCGAGGTTCTTCCTCCAACACCCGGCCTGAGCCACCCACTGAAGAACACGGACATCCCTCTCCCCATTCTGTGCGGGGAAACGGAGGCGCAGCACTCGCATCTCACACTCATGGTGGAACTGTGACCGGGACCCAAGTCTCCTGACACCCCTACAACGACATGCAGCCCTCTGCCTGGGTGGGGAGGGGGTCCGGGCACAGCTGAGGTTTGGGGGAAGGAGGTCTTCTGGGAATGTTCCCGGGGTTCCCGAGGATGGTGGTGACTCAGTGCCCATGGGAGAAATCAGATGATCCCACGCCCTCCTCGAAATGGACGGGGGCTCAGGCACTGATGAAGATGCCTCTGGATGAAGCTGCTTGATTGTTTCGGCAGAGAAATGCTTAAACTCAGGACACTAAAAATGGGACAGGCTGTTGGGTTTTCCAAATGCAGACAACGGGCAGAGGGCTCAAAGAGATGCCATTCCAATGAGAGGCAACTGGCCAGCAAGCCCAGGAAAAGGTGTCCAGCAGCACTGTCACCAGGGAAAGGCAAGCCAGAGCCACAGGGGAGATGACGCCGTGCACCCACTGGATGGCCAGAGTTATCTGACTCAACCACTGTGGAAAACAGCGTGGCAGCTCCTCAAAAAACAAAATAATTACCCAGCAATTTCACACCTGGGGCCTAGGTACGTACCCAAGAGAACTGAGAGCAGAGACTCAGGCATTTGTAACGGGAATGTCCCTGACAGCACTTTTCATAATCGCCAAAGGGTGGAAGGCACGCACATGTCTGTCCCCAGATGAACGGGTGATGGAACACTATTCACCCCTCTCAGGAACGGGGCCTGTTGCATGCCACAGTGTGGAGGAGCCCAGAAGACCTTATGCTGAGTGACAGAAGCCAGACAAAGGTCCAGGTGAAATGTCCCGAAGAGGCGAGGCCACAGAGACAGAACCCAGGGGCCGGGGGAGGGGAGAGCAGGGAGCAACTGTTTAATACGTATGGGGTTTCCTTTTGGGGCCATGGAAATGTCTTGGAACTACACAGAGGCGATGCCTGTGCAAAGCTCTAACGGTGCTGAATGCCACAAATCTCCCACTTAAAAATGGATAACTTTGGGCCGGGCGCGGTGGCTCACGCCTGTAATCCCGGCACTTTGGGAGGTCGAGGCAGGTGGATCATGAGGTCACGAGATCGAGACCATCCTGGCTAACACGGTGAAACCCCGTCTCTACTAAAAATACAAAAAAACAAAAAATTAGCCGGGCGTGGTAGCAGGTGCCTGTAGTCCCAGCTACTCAGGAGGCTGAGGCAGGAGAACGGTGTGAACCCGGGAGGCGGAGCTTGCAGTGAGCCGAGATTGCGCCACTGCACTCCAGCCTGGGCGACAGCGCGAGACTCCGTCTCAAAAAAAAAAAAAAAAAGTAAACCGTAATTATTTGCCACCCCAATTTCCCCTCCCTGCCCCCCAGCTGCTGGGCCCACCACCAGCCCCTGCTGTGCGGCCAGGACAAGGGCAGAAGAGCCGTGTGCAGGAGCGTGTGCAGGCACACCCCTGAGCACCCCCAGCCCTGTGTCCTCTGTATTCCAAGCCTCCCTTGAGGTGAGAAGGGCTGTGTGACCGGATCCCATGGAACACAGGCAAAGTGACAACGGCCCTTCCCAGGCCTCAAACCTCCTCAAGCCTCAGGCTCCTCGAGGCTCTGTGTTCCTCTGAGCACACGGCCGGGTACATGGGCTGGAGGTGCGGCCACCAGTCCCAGAGCCTGGAGGACATGCCAGGCTGTGCCACAAGCAGGACACGAGTGGACGGCATTAGCTCCCGAGACTGGGGGTGTTCCTGTCCCCAAATACAGTCTCACCTGCCCTCACAGGTACTGGTGGTCTGGAGGCTGGGCGAGCAAAGAAGATTCGAGCCCTTCCTGGGTCACGACTTTTCAAAGCTCTGTGGGGCGTCCTGTGTGTGACCTGCCAGAGGAGTCTCCTGCAGAGATGACCTGGGGGCTGCCCACCGGTGCTGGGTCCCACAGCCAAGGCTGGCCTCTTGCCACGGAAGAGCAACGTGCCCACGTCACCAAGCGCCTGTGAGCCCCGTTTCCCCAGGTGAGGAGGGCCGGGCCCAGAGCCCCACCTCTGCTCAGTGTCAGGCTGGAAGGGAGCTGGGGCTTCCCAGGGTGCAGCAGACACCCTACAGGCCACGGTGGAGGAGTGGGAGGGGGAGAAGACCAGAACAAAACCACTGGCCCACCCAGGACCAGTTCCGTCTGCCAGGTCTGTGCCAGCTTCAGTGGCAACTAAAGTGTGAGGAAGAAACCCAGGAAGCCCTCCCCACCCTCGCCCACCCCGGCTCATGCTGCACCCCCAGCTCCCCACCCTCGCCCACCCCGCCTCAGGCTGCACCCCCAGCTCCCCACCCTCGCCCACCCTGCATCAAGCTGCACCCCCAGCTCCCCACCCTCGCCCACCCCGGCTCACGCTGCACCCCCAGATCCCCACCCTCAGGTCCTGGCACCCGGAGTGCACATCTCCCCCAGCATCCCCCAGGGTCATGACTTAAATTCTAGGCAACTACATTTTTTCTCTTTTAGGAACCCAAGGGTGAGAATTTTCTAGAGTCATGGAGACACAGGAGGGACCTGGAAGCGACTGGGATGGCCCCTGTCCTGCCTCCCCTGCCTCCTGCCCAGGGCCACACTGCCCCCCAGGTGCTTCCCTGGAACGCTGGGCTCTGCAGGACACAGACATCAGCAGCTCAGGGCACAGAGGAGCCCAGGGCCAGGACCGGAAGCACCACTGCCAGCACCCAAATCTGGGAAGCGGCTCTGGTGCCCCAGGACCTGGGCCTGCAGGGCTGCAGACATCTCCCGAGCTGGCCCCAGCTCCTCTGGTATCACTAGTGTCAGGGAGGAAAGCCTGAACCAGGTGGGTGCACACCCGTCCAGGTGCACAGAGGACCTGTGGTGGTGACTGGGCTGCTGTAATTTGTGGAGCCATCCATGACGCAAAAGCCGACAGAGATGTTTGCTCAGAGCTAAATGCCAGTCCCTCCAAGACCCAGGGGAGGCTGAACTGCCGCCCTCGAGGTCCTGCCTGCACCGTCTCCCTGCCCCGGGCTCTCTAGGGGGCAGGAGCCAAGCAGAAAGCAGCTTCAGGAATAAGGACACCTCACTGCCTGCTCTTGCCCAACTCCCACCTTGTCCGGGGTGTCAGAGGGGACAGCTCAGGTATCCCTCCACAGGCCTCATGGCCTTCAGGCTCAGGGGCAGAGGAGAGAGGAGTCCCCGAGGCCCCCACAACCACACAGCCGTGACACCAGAGCTCCACGGAGGCCCAGGGATGATCTCAGAGCCATTCCCAGGCCTGGGCCTCACCCTAGAGCTCCGGGAGGGAGGCCAAGGCTGGGAGAAAGGGCAGGACCACAGGGGCTGCCAAGTGTCCTTGAGCGTGGGTCAGGAGAGGGCCTATCCTCCAAGGTCCCCTGGGGAAAGTGGAGCCTGCCTCAGGGGGCACAGCATCACCTCCTCAACCCCAAGCCTGGCTGCCTTTCTGATGGAGGAGCCAGGTGGGCTCTGGGAGGCCTAGAACCTTCTCACCCCTCCCAGCCCCAAAGGGTGCAGTTAGTTACTGCATCACAGCCCCCAGGGGACCCCTGACCGCAACCTCTCTGAGTCACACTGACCGGCAGCCTCCCAGGGGCCGAAGACCCCCACCCCATGGAGCATGGCAGACAGCCCTGGCAGGCCCAAGTGCAGACACGCAGGGAGAGGTGGCCCCACTGTCGTGGTCCCCTACAGCCACCGCCGGGGTGCACTCCCTGTTTGGCAGCCACTGTCTAGTCCCCTGCGCCTGGCCACACACAGGTGGGGAAGAAATCATGACACAGGGTGTTGACTGCGGCCTCTCCCTGCCATGTGACAGCTCCCGAGGTCCCTGCGGCACTCTCCCCAATGCATCCTGATCTCACTATATTTGCACCCCAAACCCTGGCACCCAGGCCCCACGCGGCACTCCCTGTCCTCAGCGCAGCGGTACCCCTGTCCGTGGACCCTCAGCCCATCAACCTTCACCCCGTCCTCAGCACAGCAGCACCCCTATCTCACGAAACCAAGCCCCCCACCCTGCACCCTGTTCTCAGCAAAGCAGCACCCCTGCCCCGACACCCATTCCCCCACCCTGACCCCTGAAAACGAGCCCCCGGCCCTGCACCCGCTGTCAGCACAGCAGCACCCCTGCCCTGAATCCCAGCCCCGCCACCCTGAACCCCATCCTCAGCACAGCACCATCCATGCCTTTTGACGCCCGGGCCACCCGCCCTGCCCCACCCGTCCTCAGCACAGCAGCACCCCTGTCCTCTGACACCCAGTCCCAAAACCCGCACCGGTAAGTGTTGGCCCTGAGCCTCCCATGGCCCTGAAGGCCGCATCTTCAGGTGCTCTGTCCGCAGCAGCACGTAACTCCCAGGCTGCCCGGTGGGTTGAGGCCCACGGCAGCCTCACCAAGGGCTCCACCCCAGAAACGACAGGCTTTTAGATGTTTAAAGACCAGAGTGGCAAAAATGCAGGAGAGCAAAGGAGCCTTGCCTAAGAGACAGCTCCACTCCAGCAGCAGAGCTGGAGGAGGAATGAGGGAGGTAGAGCGCAGAAGGGAACTCAGGACTGGGCCATCTGCTGCAGAAACAGCAGGCCCAGGACAGTGGCGACTTCTGGGCTCCCCGGCCCTCTGCTCATGCTTGCTCAGAAAGGGCTGTCCTGTTTACTTCGGGAGGCGGCTTTGGCGGGAGGGGCAGCCACACTGGGACCTCCGGCTGTGGCTGGGTTCTGGGCACCAAGCCCGCTGCCAGGCCGGCGCCTGCTCCCGCAGACCTGCCATGCCAATGCTCTCCAAGCTGAGGCCGGGTGGCCTGCGACGCTCAGCCCGCTGCCCATCACAAGAAGAAAAGCGCTTATCAGGGCGCTGTGCGCACGGGGCCACCTTCGCGCTGGCCCGTGCGGGCACCCTCAGCCGGCGGGACTTTCACCTTTGCCGAGCAGCGGCGGCAGCACCGGATGTCTCCTTCGCCCCTGCGCACCGGGGTCGCGCAGAAAGGACGGTGGTTCTGACCGGCGGCTCTGCGGGGCGGGGTGCGGCGCTCAGCCCGGTCGCCCCATGCCTGCCCAGGGCTTGGTGGACCCGAGGGACACTGTGGGCATGGCACCTCTGGGCAGGGACTCCTGGGCAATCTGAGCTGCTGTACGCCCTGCTCTGGTCTCTGCCCGCCAGGCGAGCGCCGTGCGCGAGAGGAGCAGGCAGGGGAAGCACGCAGGCGGCATGTAGGAGAGGAGCGCGGACTGTGCAAGGGCAGGAGCGGGGCGGGGGCCAGGCAGGGGCAGGGGCAGGGGCAGGGGCAGGAGCGGGGAGCGGGCCAGGCAGGGATAGGAGCGGGTCGCCACAGGAGCGGGGCGCGGGTAAGAGCAAAGCCGGCCGGCAGAGGTGGGAGCAGGGCGTGGTGCTGGGAAGGCCACCACTAACCTGGGTCCGCTCGCCTTTGCACGCACAGCCCCTCCTTTCACCAGGTGCACCTGCCTGCAGTCCCTGTGCTTTGCCCTTTTTGCTGCACAAAGACAGCAGGGAAGCCGTGCAGGATGCAAGATCTGAGACTGCTAGGGTTGTGACCCGAGGACTCTGAGAACACCACCCTCCCCGCCAACCGCCCATCCCTACCCCAGCTCCAGGCTCCCCCAACCAGAGCGCATCCCCAGCCATTTCTCCTGAGGCAGAGGCTCGGTGGAGCTCAGCCTCTGTGGGGCTAGAGGCCAGAGGAAGGGAAGATATGGGCAGGGAAGGGGGCAGGAGAGCCTTTGTCAGCATCCAGGGCAGTGCAGAGGGTGGGGGTCCTGGAGGCCAGGCCTGGGAAAAATGTAACCAGGTTTGGAAAAACAAGAATTAGGGAGGCGGGAGGCAGACGCGTTGGTCAACAGGCACCAGGTGGCTGAGGCAGTCCAGAGGGGTGAGGGGCAGGCCTGTCAATGTCAGGCCCCGAGCTGGTAAGTTTCAACTCCCTACTGTTCTCTGGGAGGTTTCCAGAGAAACTAACTCCAGTGAGACAAATGTAACTTTCTTTAAGACTGGGAGGATCAATTTCTACATTTATTCAAAGAAGCAGTAAACATCTACAGGAGAATTTGGCTACTTTCCACCTCATTGGGGGAGTGTGGGGGGGGGCCTTCCCTCCTCTACACAGGAAAGCACGGGGTGTGGGACTAGGAGAGCCAGCATGGAGCCCCAGAGAATCCAGTTTTCCCCCGAAGAAATGATGCCCAGCATCACATTCACCTCTAACAAGGGGAAGCCATGGACCTGTCAGGGGGGTCCTGGGGTGAGGTAGGAGGTGGGTTCTGGGCTTCTGTGGGGAAAGTCCCTTTTCTTTCCATATCCCCCAGCTGCCTCTTGAGGTCTGGCCTGCACCCAGCCACAGACAGATGGAGGAAGGGAAGCCCATGGGGCCATGGGGTGGGAGGGCCCAGGAAGCTGGGCCTGGGGTGCCCCGGGGCCAGCCCCTCCTCTTTCTCCTGCATCCTGGCTGAGCTCAGGGCTGAATCAGTGATCTGCACATCACTGCAGATCTGAAAAAGTGAAGTCACCCTGGCAGGCAGGAGGAGGAGTTGCCAAGACGGGCTGGCTCGGACTTGGCCAACCGCTATGTCCAGAGCCGGCCTGCTGAGGGGTAGGTGGTGTGGGCAGCCAGCCCACGAGAGGTACCCTAAACCACTGGACCCTCTGCTGCCTGCCACCCACCCCCGCCAGGCTTTACAGAGCTGGAGTTGTCTCCCTTGGGTGCATACAAGCCCCGTTTCTGTTGCTAGCAGCTACACAGTCTTCACACTCAGGCCTATGCCCAGGGAAGGGACATTGTAGGTAGGGAGGGGCTGAGGGGGACTTTTGGCAACAGACAAGCTCCTGTGACTGTCCCCTAGGAGAATGAAGAGAGAAGGGGGTGGGCCTGAATAGCACCCCCCCGCCCCCACCTCCCAGGAACCTCTCTGGCCACATCTTGGCTGCTGCACAGACTGGATGCCTGGCTCAGCTCTGTGACCACCTCAGGGCCCATCTGAGCCTGCACTCCTGCCTGGCATCCCAGGCACTTTTCCCTTCTCCCCATCCCCACCCTTGGAGGGCTTGAGTGGACACCTGACACCAGGGGGAGATATGGTCTTCTCCTGGGGAAAAGGTCTGGGGAGCCTCATGTGGGTGCACCCCTGTACACTTGCATACGTGCACACATGCATACACCTGTGTTCACATGTGTGGACACACATGCACACGGATGCACACCTTCCTCCACATGCACACCCAGGGACCTGACCAGAGGATCACCCAGTAGAGAACAGAGGTGAAGCCTGCGGCCTGATGGCCTCAGCAACTACAGGGAGAGGAGACAGCCCTGCCTGGGTGTGGGCTCAGGATCCAAAACATCAGGCAGCAAAAAGGAGCTCCTCACCCGCACAAGGGAAATGGGGCCACCCCGAGGTCCCACAAGGGGAGGTGGAGGCAGAGTGGGTTGCAAGGCAGGCCCTGGCCCTGGCTTCTCTCGGTTCCTCGGGTGAGGAGGGCCTGCAGGGGGCTCTGCCTCCCTTTCTTGCCTTCCCTTAGTCGACTCTCTCTGAGCCTCAGTTTCCCCAGCTGGAAACATCTCCATCTCAGAAGGAGGGGTTGTAAGAATTAAAGAGGAGAGAAACACGGAGGGTGGCTCAATAGTCAGCAGGTTTATTTCAAACCTGGGAGGGACTTTTGTCCAAGTTAAGTCAGAAGCCGCACTCCCCTACATGCTAAAAGTTTTTAAGGATTCAGGGTGGGAGAGTTTATCAGAGGCTTGCACTGCTCCTATGTCTCTTTGTTGTGCTTATCTGGAAGGGAGAATTGTGTGTCTGTTCCCATACATCTTGCTTCAGCCGCAGGCATACCTCCCCCCTCCCCCGAGTCTGCTTTAGCTTCCCTATCTTAGTGCATCTGAAGGGAAAGGACAGTGATTATTAAGGCCCACTGGTTTACCGGGGCCCATTGTATGAGGGTGAAGTTTGGTAGTTACTTGAGAGACTTTCCCCCCTCCCCCCACCTCCCTCTGTGCCCAAGCTGTCTTATCTTTTACTGCCTGCTCTTTCTGGCTGCTGCTTGTAGTTAGAAGTGAAGTGATTTCCTTGAAATGCATGGGGCTAGAAAGGGAGCTGGAACTTAAAGTGGCAGTGTTTGTCTGAGATGACGGTGCTCCTGCTCTGTCACCCCTGCCTTTTCATGCCCGGGAACCCTGCCCTGCACCACCTCTGTCCTCTGCACTGCAGCAACTCTGCCCCTGACACTCAACACCACACCCTGCACCTCATCCTCAGTGCAGCAGCACCCCTGGCCCTGACACCCAGCCCCAAAACTTGCACCCGTAAGTGTTGTCCCTGACCTCCCATGGCCCCAAAGCCACATCTTCAGGTGCCCTCCCAGACAGCGGCACAGAACTCCCAGGCTGCAGGCTGGGTCTCAGCCCACTGCAGCCCCTCCAAGGGAGCCACCCCAGAAACCACAGGCTTTTAGGTTTTTAAAGACCAGGTGGCAAAAACGCAGGAGAGCAAAGCAACCTTGCCAAAGAGAGCCTCTGCACTCCTCTGCCAGCCAAAGTGGCAGAGCTGGAGGAGGAATGAGGAAGGTAGAGCTCAAAAAGGAAACCAGGAATCGCCACACTGTCTTCCACAATGGTTGAACTAATTTACACTCCTACCAACAGTGTAAAAGCGTTCCTATTTCTCCACATCCTCAAGGATCTAGAAATAGAAATGCAATTTGACCCAGCAATCCCATTACTGGGTATATACCCAAAGGATTATCAATCATTCTACTATAAAGACACAAGCACACATATGTTTATTGCGGCACTGTTCCACAATAGCAAAGACTTGGAACCAACCCAAATGTCCATCAATGATAGACTGGATAAAGAAAACGTGGCACATATACACCATGGAATACTATGCAGCCATAAAAAAGGATGAGTTCCTGTCCTTTGCAGGGACATGGATGAAGCTGGGAAACATCATTCTCAGCAAACTAACACAGGAACAGAAAACCAAACACCACATGTTCTCACTCATAAGTGGGAGTTGAACAATGAGAATACATGGACACAGGGAGGGGAACATCACACACTGGGGCCTGTTGGGGGCTGGGGGGAGGGATAGCATTAGGAGAAATACCTAATGTTGATGACAGGTTGATGGGTGCAACAAACCACCATGGCCCATGTATACCTGTTAACCAACCTGCACATTCTGCACATGTACCCCAGAACTTAAAGCATAATAAAATAAAATTTTAAAAAAGGAAACCAGGACTGCACCATCTCCTTCAAAAACAGCAGACCCGTGCCACTCGTGGCTTCCTGGGCTCCCTGCCCCTTCGCCCACACCTGCCCCGAAAGAGCTGTCCTGTTTGCTTCAGGACACCGGCTTTGGCGCTTGGGACAACCACGCTGGGAACTCCCACTGCGCTAGGTTCTGGGCACCAGCCCCGCTGCCCGCGGGCGCCTGCTCCTGTCAGAGACCTGCCCGCCGCCCGCCACCAGTGCGCTCCCAGCCGAGGCCAGGTGGCCAGTCACACGCAGCCCGCTGCCCAGCGCAAGCAGAAAGGTGCTTCTCAAAGCCTCGGCTCCGCCGCTTGGCACTCTGGGCCACCTTTGCACTGGCCGATGCGGGCGCCTGCAGCCAGCAAGACTTACTTTTGTGAGCAGCCTCGGCGCACCGGATGTCGTCTTTGCCATCCCCAGTGGGCGCTGGGGCCGCGTCTGGAGAGACAGTGGCTCTGGCCGGCGGGGTGCGGCGCTAAGCCCGACCGCCCCATGCCTGCCCGGGTGAGGCCGACGTGGGCGTGGCACCTCGGGGCAGGGACTCCAGAGCACTCAGCGGCTGCGCGCCCTGCTCTGTCACTGTTGGGCTAGGCGGGTGCCGGCTGCTGGCGAGGAGCCGGAAGGGGCAGCGCAAGGCGGCGGGTGGGAGTGGGCACGGGCCGGGCTTAGCTAGGAGCGGGGCACGGATAGGAGCGGCGCACGCGTAGGAGCGGGGCGCGGGCAGGTACAGAACGCGGGCAGGAGCAGGACGCGGAGGGGAGCGGGGCGCGGGCTGGCAGAGGTCAGAACAGGACGCGGTAGCAGCGGGGCGCCACTAGGCAGGGATAGGAGCGTGGGGCGGTAGCTGCCAGACAGGCGGGTGCTGGAAAGGCCACCAGTATCCTGGGTCAGCGCACCTCTGCAAGCACAGCCGCTCCTTTCAAACAGGTGCGCCCTTTCCACTGCACAGCGGGCAAGGAAACCAGGTGGGGATGCAAGATCTGGTACTGCTGGGGTTGCTGGGGTTGCGACCCAGAAGACTCTGAGAACAACGCCCTCTCCCCAACCCCCCATCCCTACCCCAGCTTCAGGCTCCCCCGCAGCGCACCCCCAGCCATTTCTCAGAGGCAGAGGCACAGTGTAGCTGGGCCTCTGCATGGCCAAAGGTGGGAGGAGGGGAGGAGCTGGTTAGGGAGGGGGAAGGACAGCCTTCGTCAGCATCCAGGGCAGTGCAGAGGGTGGGGGTCCTGGAGGCCTGGCCAAGAAGAAATGTAACCAGTTGTGGAAAAACAGGAGTTAGAGAGCAGGGAGGCAAAGGCGTTGGTCAACAGACACCAGGTAGCTGAGGCACTCCGGAGGGCTGAGGGAGGGGTGAGGGGCAGGCCTCTCACTATCAGGCCCAGAGCTCTAGCTCGTAAGTTTCAGCTCCCTACTGTTCTCTGGGAGGTTTCCCAAGAAAACTCCATTGAGACAAATGTAACTTTCTTTAAGGCTGGGATGATCAATTTCTGTTTATTCAAAGCAGTAGCAAACTTTTTCTATGGGAGAATTTGGCCACTTTCAGCCTCATGGGGGGAGTGTGGAGGGGGTGGCCTTCCCCCTTCTACACAGGGGAAGTGGGATGTGGGACTGGCAGCCTAGGAGAGCCAGCAGCAGAGAGGAACTGGAGCCCCAAAGAATCCAATTTTCCCCCAAATAAATGATGCCCAGGATCACATTCACCTCTAATAATGGGAAGCCACTGGACCTGTGCTGGGGGATCCTGGGGTGAGCCTACGACCTGGGGCTTATACCCAGTGCCTAGGACCCGGGGCTCACACCCAGAGCCTAGGACTTGGGGCTTACACCCACAGCCTAGGACCCGGGGCTTACACCCAGAGCCTAGGACTTGGGGCTTATACCCAGAGCCTAGGAAACAAAGCTTATACCCAGAGCCTAGGACCCGGGGCTTATACCCAGAGCCTAGGACTTGGGGCTTATACACAGAGCCAAGGACTTGGGGCTTATACACAGAGCCAAGGACGTGGGGCTTATACCCAGAGCCTAGGAAACAAAGCTTATACCCAGAGCCTGGGATATGGAGCTTATACCCAAAGACTAAATCACAAGGCTTATACCCAGAGCCGAGGACACAAGGCTTATATCCAGAGTTTAGGACCCGGGTCTTATACACTGAGCCTAGGACACTGGGCTTGTACTCAGAGCCTAGGACATGGAGCTTATACCCAGAGCCTAGGAAACACAAGTCTTATACCCAGAAAAAACGTGGGGCTTATACCCAGAGCCTAGGACCCGGGGCTTATACACTACTTATACTCTACTTTTAGTAGAGACGGAGTTTCACCATGTTGGCCAGGCTGGTCTCAAACTCCTGACCTCAGGTGATCCACCCGCCTCAGCCTCCCAAAATGCTGGGATTACAGGCATGAGCCATTGTACCCAGCCATACAGTACAGAAGCAAGTTTAAAAATAAAATATTTATTTGAATAACAAGCTTACACTGGAGCTGCAATGTTGGCAATGCAGATTTTGAACACGGATCACAAAAAGCATGCATAAAATCCTACTGGCCCAGAGAACAAACCACTGCTCAGAATTAGGCTAAATAGCTGCTGCTTTTAAGAAAATAAAAGGCCTGAAATCAATATACAACATTTTTTAAAATGTATTGGCCGGGCGGGTGCCTGTAATTCCAGCACTTTGGGAGGCCAAAATAGGAGGATCACCTGAGGTCAGGAGTTCAAGACCAGCCTGGCCAACATGGTGAAACTCCGTCTCTACTAAAAATAAAAAATTAGCTGGGTGTGGTGACACACGCCTGTAGTCCCAGCTACCTGGGAGGCTGAGGCAGAAAAATTGCTTGAACCTGGGAGGAGGAGATGGCAGTGAGCCATGATCATGCTATTGCACTCCAGCCTGGGCAACGGGTAAGACTCCATCTCAGGGAAAAAAAAAAAAAAAAAAGGTATTAAACACTACCATATACAGAACAATCTTTGTTACTGACTATATTTAAAAATTATTTGCATAGTTATTACATATTGCAAATGAGCATAATACATGAACTTTCTTTTGGAAGGCAATTCCTTTTTACATACAATAAGAAACATCTAATTTCAGCTGGGCGCGGTGGCTGATGCCTATAATTCCAGCAGTTTGTGGGGCCAACATAGGCACATCATCTGAGGTCAGGAGTTGGAGAGCAGCCTGCCGAACATGGCGAAAACCTGTCTCTACTAAAAATACAAAAATTAGCCAGGCATGGTGGCGGGCGCCTGTAGTCCCAGCTCCTTAGGGAGGCTGAGGCAGGAGAATCGCTTGAACCCGGGAGGCAGAGGTTGCAGTGAGCTGAGATTCTGCCACTGCACTCTGGCCTGGGCAACAAGAGCAAAACTTGGCCTAAAAAAAAAAAACCCTAATTACATCACATTGCAAATATCTCATTTTTCCTGTCAATAAACAGTTAATAGTATTACTGTAAATATCAGGAAGGCTACAAAAATATAAGATTTCTTTTGGTCTTCACAGTGTTTTTTATGCAGTGAAGCACTTACTGTATTGAACAGAATGCAGTACTAGAAAATGTCCTGGGTGTGAGATGCTCGAGTGCCAAAACTAGGCTTTTCTTTTCTTTTTTTTTTGAGATGGAGTCTCACTCTCTCACCAGGCTGGGGTGCAGTGGTGCAATCTCGGCTCACTGCAACCTCTGCCCCCCGGGTTCAAGTGATTCTCCTGCCCCAGCCTCCCAAGTCAGTGGGACTACAGGCGCCCGCCACCATACCCGGCTAATTTTTTTGTATTTTTAGTAGAGACGGGGTTTCACCATGTTGGCCAGGATGGTCTCAATCTCTTGACCTCGTGATCCACCCACCTGGGGCTCCTAAAGTGCTGGGATTATAGGCTTGAGCCACCGAGCCCGGTCCAAGACCAGGCTTTTCAAATCAAAGATAAAAGAATCATGCAACCCTCTTACAACTGGGATACCATCCTGTGTCACTTGCCAATACTGTCTTTCCAGAAAACCATTCAAGACACTAAAAAAAGATCAGACTTATATGATAAACACACATAGAATGAAAAGACACCAACTGCTATTTGACACTACTATTGGTAATGTCTGTCATATGTGAAAGTACTTTTTATTTTATTATTTGAGACTGAGTTTTGCTCTTGTTGCCCAGGCTGGAGTGCAATGGCACGATCTCTGCTCACCGCAACCTCCGCCTCCCGGGTTCAAGTGATTGTCCTACCTCAGCCTCCCGAGTAGCTGGGATTATAGGCATGTGCCACCACGCCTGGCTACTTTTCTGTATTTTTAGTAGAGATAGAGTTTCACCATGTTGGTCAGGCTGGTCTCGAAATCAGAACCTCCGGTGATCTGCCTGCCTCGGCCTCCCATAGTGCTGGGATCACAGGCATGAGCCACTGTGCCTGCCTGTGAAAGCACTTTTAAAAAGAGAGCACGTCTGCTGCCTGGTCACATTCTGTACCTGTTCCCAAACCCCGAAGCCAGTGATGTCAGTGGCTGCATGGGCATTGAACGTGTACATTATTCCTGCAGCTTTCCTGTTGACCTGGACCATGTTCATCAATGTTTTTCAATACATTAATTCTACATCTTCTTGGATGACCACTAGTTTTATTTCATTTTTCAGAAATATCCAGCCACTGGTGCACAGCCATTGCCACTTGTGCCCCCAGGGGATCTTGTCAACTCCAGTATGTCCCCCCAGCACTGTGTTATCTGGCATAATAAATGTAGTTGGGCTGTAGTTGTAGTGACTCCTCCCAAAACAACCCAGGAGTTTAATACTGTTTGGCCACCGGTTACAGACACTGCTCCTCCTTCCGCTGCGGCTTTAAAAGCCTATCTAATCGGCTGGGTGTGATGGTGGCTCAGACCTATAATCCCAGCACTTTGGGAGTCCGAGGTGGGTGGATCACCTGAGGTCAGGAGTTTGAGACCGGCCTGGCCAACATGGTGAAACCCCATCTCTACTAAAAATACAGCAAATTAGCTGGGCGTGGCGGCGCATGACTGTAATCCCAGCTACTCGGGAGGCTGAGGTAGGAGAATTGCTTGGGTGGCAGAGTAAGACTCTGTCTCAAAAAAAAAAAATAAAATGTTATCTCATCAGGGACAACACCTTTCCCTGCCAGTCATTTTGTTACCAATGAAAGAAAACATATTCAAATCAATTTTTAGTTCAGAAAATGTTTTACTGTATCTTTTAACTTTTTTATTGTTCTGCATTTTTTACGTTAAAAACACCTACCATATATATTTTTTTCTGTTTTGTTTCCTTTTTTTTTTTTTTCAAGAAATGTTTTTGTTACTTTCCTTTTTAATTTTTTCACTGACCATTACCATTATTTATATACCATGTACCTAGAGAGTTTCCAACGTTCCTCTTGTTATTGGCTTTTAATTTTATGCCATTTTGGTCTGAGAAGATACTTGCTATGATTTTCATTTTTTAAATGCTTTTTTGAGATTTGTTTTGTGGCCTAAAATGTGGTCTATCCTGGAGAACGTTTTGTGAGCTGATGAGAAGAATGCAGTTCTGCAGTTGGTGGGTGAAATGTTCTGTAATTACCTGTGAGGTCCCTTTGACTTCTCTTGGAGTCAGTCTGGTCTTTGTTACTTTTCTGCCTAGAGGGTGTGTCTGTTGCTGAAAGTGGGTTTTGGAGTCCCCAGCTATTATTGTCTGTCTCTGTCTGTTGCTCGAATAACTCTTACTTTAATAACTGGGGCTCCTGTGTCAGGTGTGTTTACATTGACAACTGTCCTACCTTCTTGCTGAATTGATCCCTTTATCATTTTATAATGACCTTTATTTTCTATTTTTGTGCTTTTTTGACTTAAAGCCTACTTTGTGTGACAAGCATAGCTGCACATACTCACTTTTGGTAACACCTTTCATTTCTTATCATCTTCATTGAATCTCACTCTTCACATTTACCAAAATGTCTACTTTTGAGCCGCGGCAATTCTTTGAATCTTCAGATCCACCACATGCTGATCAAGCCTTCCTTTTTGTCTGTACTCTGAGGAATCCCGAACAGGCATTTTTGCAAGAAAGTCTAGGAGGGAAACATAAATCTATGTGTCAGAAGAATTAACATAGAAAATAGTGTGTCCCGGTTAACAAAAGTTCTCATTGTAAAGTGTTATGCACAAGACTATGAAATTTCATGTGCCATAAATAAAATTGTCTTGATTTGTCTAAAACTACGTTTTGTCTAAAACTACTTTTAAAAATTACATGTTACTCTAATAAATGTATTTTTGGCTGGGCGCAGTGGCTTACGCCTGTAATCCCAGCACTTTGGGAGGCCGAGGCAGGTGGATCACGAGGTCAGGAGATCGAGACCATCCTGGCTAACACAGTGAAACCCTGCCTCTACTAAAAATACAAAAAAAAATTAGCCGGGCTTGGTGGCGGGTGCCTGTAGTCCCAGCTACTCAGGAGGCTGAGGCAGGAGAATGGCGTGGACCTGGGAGGTGGAGGTTGCAGTGAGCCGAGACTGCGCCACTGCACTCCAGCCTGGGCGACAGAGCAAGACTCTGTCTCAAAAACAACAACAACAAAAAAAAAACAAATATTTTTTCCAACTATATTCTTTCTTTTTTTCAAGATTATTTTGCCTATATTGGGTTCGTTGTATTTCTACTGGGTCCACTTGTCTACAAAAAAGTCTTTTGACAGGGATTGTGTGGAATCTACAGATTAATTTGGGAAACACTGACATATTAACGTTAAGTCTTTCAATCCATGCATGCAAAATGTCTTTCTTTTTATTTAGGTCTTCTTTAGTTTCTTTGAAAAATGTTTTCTAGGCTGGGCGCGGTGGCTCACGCCTATAATCCCAGCACTTTGGGAGGCCGAGGCGGGCAGATCACGAGGTCAGGAGTTCAAGAACAGCCTGGCCAACATGGTGAAACCCCGTCTCCACTAAAAATACAAAAATTAGCTGGGCATGGTGGTGTGCACCTGTAATCTCACCTACTGGGGAGGCTGAGGCAGGAGAATGGCTTGAACCCAGGAAGCAGAGGTTGCAGTGAGCCGAGATTATGTCACTGCACTCCAGCCTGGGTGACAAGCAAGACTTCATCTCAAAAAAAAAAAAAAAAAAAGAAAAAGAAAAATGTTTTCTAGTTTTCAGTGCACAAGTTTTACACTTCTTTTGTTAAATTTATTCCTAAGCATTTTATTATTTTTGATGCTATTGTAAATGGAATGTGTTAATCTATTCTTGCATTACTATAAATAAATACCTGAGACTGAGTAATTTATAAAGACAAGAGGTTTAATTGGCTCATGGTTCTGCAGTCTGTACAAGCAGCACAGCAGCTTCTGCTTCTGGGAAGGCCTCAGGAAGCTTCCAATCATGGCAGAAGGCAAAGGAGAAGTGAGGTATCTCACATGGTGAAAGCAGAAGGAAGAGGGGGTGGGGGTGGGGGTGCCATATACTTTTGTTTGTTTGAGACGGAGTCTCACTCTGTCACTCTGGCTGGAGTATAGTGGCATGATCTTGGCTCACTGCAACCTCTGCCTGCCAGGTTCAAGTGATTCTCCCACCACAGCCTCCCGAGTAGATGAGATTATAAGCACATGCCACCATGCTCGGCTAATTTTTGTATTTTTAGTAGAGACAGGGTTTCACCATGTTGGCCAGGCTGGTTTTGAACTCCAGACCTCAAGTGATCCACCCACCTCGGCCTCCCAGAGTGCTGGGATTACAAATGTGAGCCACCGCACCCAGTCTATATCATTTTTTTTTTTTTTTTTTTTGAGATGGAGTCTCACTCTGTCACCCAGGCTGGAGTGCGGTGGTGTGATCTTGGCTCACTGCACCCTCCACCTCCCGGGTTCAAGCAACTCTCGTGCCTCAGCCTCCCAAGTAGCTGTGACTACAGGTGAGCGCCACCATGTCCAGCTGATTTTTTGTATTTTAGTAGAGATGGGGTTTCACTGTGTTGCCCAGGCTGGTCTCGAACTCCTGAGCTCAGAAAATCCACCTGCCTCAGCCTCCCAAAGTGCTCACAGGCATGAGCCGCTGCACCTGGCTGGGGCCTATGTACTTTTAAACAACCAGATCTCATGAGATCTCCCTCACTATCATGAGAATGGCACCACGGGAATGGTGCTAAACCATTCGTGAGAAACCGCCTCCATGGTCCAATCACCCCCCACCATGCCCGACCTCAAACAGAGAAACCGCCTCCAGGGTCCAATCACCTCCCACCATGCCCGACCTCAAACAGAGAAACCGCCTCCATGGTCCAGTCACCTCCCACCATGCCCGACCTCAAACAGAGAAACCGCCTCCATGATCCAATCACCTCCCTCCATGCCCGACCTCAAACAGAGAAACCGCCTCCAGGGTCCAATCACCCCCCACCATGCCCGACCTCAAACAGAGAAACCGCCTCCATGGTCCAATCACCTCCCACCATGCCCGACCTCAAACAGAGAAACCGCCTCCATGGTCCAATCATCCCCCACCATGCCCGACCTCAAACAGAGAAACCGCCTCCAGGGTCCAATCACCCCCCACCATGCCCGACCTCAAACAGAGAAACCGCCTCCAGGGTCCAATCACCCCCCACCATGCCCAACCTCAAACAGAGAAACCGCCTCCATGGTCCAATCACCCCCCACCATGCCCGACCTCAAACAGAGAAACCGCCTCCATGGTCCAATCACCTCCCACCATGCCCGACCTCAAACAGAGAAACCGCCTCCATGATCCAATCACCTCCCACCATGCCCGACCTCAAACAGAGAAACCGCCTCCAGGGTCCAATCACCCCCCACCATGCCCGACCTCAAACATTGAGGATTACAATTTGACAGTCCCCAATGTCAGGTCCTTTCCACATTTCATGCCTTCCCAACAGTCCCCTAAAGTCTTAACTCATTCCAGCATTAACTCAAAAGTCCAAAGTCCAAAGTCTCATCTGAGACAAGGCTAGTTCCTTCCACCTATAGGTCTGTAAAATCAAAAACAAGTTAGTTACTTCCAAGATACAATTGAGGTATAGGAATTAGGTAAATATTCCCATTCCAAAAGGGAGAAATTGACCAAAACAAAGGGGCTACAGGCCCCATGCAAGTCTGAAACCCAGCAGGGCAGTCATTAAATCCTAAAACTCCAAAATAATCTCCTTTGACTCCATGTCCCACATCCAGGGCAACTGATGGAAGGGGTGGACTCCCAAGGCCTTGGGCAACTCTGCCCCTGTGGCTTTGCAAGGCTCAGCCCCCGACACCACTCTCAAGGGCTGGTTTTGAGTACCTGAAGCTTTTCCAGGCACAGAGTGCAAGCTGCTGGTGGATCTACCATTCTGGGGTCTGGAAGATGGTGGATCTCTTCTCACAGCTCCACTAGGAAGTGTTCCAATGGGGACTCTGCATGGGAAATCCAACCCCACATTTCCCCTCCTCACTGCCCTGGTAGAGGTTCTCCATGCTGCTGCATGGGGCAGAGCCTTCATGGAGGACCTCTACTAGGGCAGTGAGGCTTCTGCTTAGACATTCAGGCTTTGCTATACATCCTCTGAAATATAGGCAGAGGCTCCAAAGCCTCAACTCTTGCACTCTGTGAACTCACAGGCATATTACCACATGGAAGCCACCAAGGCTTATGGCTTGCACCCTCTGAAGCAGTGGCCTAAGCTGTACCTGGGCCTGTTTGAGCCATGGCTAGGCTGGGATGCAGGGAGCAGTGTCCTGAGGCTGCACAGGACAGCAGGAGCCCTAGGTCTGGCCCAGAAAACCATTCTTCCCTTCTAGGCCTCTGAGTCTGTGATGGGAGGGGCCGTGGTGAAGGTCTCTGAAATGTCTTCTAGGCTTTTCCCCCATTGTCTTGGCTATTAGCACTTGGCACCTTTTTACATATGCAAATTTCTGCAGCCTGCTTGAATTCATCCCCTGAAAAGGGCCTTTTCTTTCCAGGCTGCAAAATTTCCAAACTTTTACACTCTGCTTCCCCTTTAAATATAAGTTCCAACTTTAGGTCATTTCTTTGCTCATGCATATGAGTGTAGGTTGTTAGAAGCAACTAGGTCACATCTTGAATGCTGTGCTGCTTAGAAATTTCTTCCACCAGATAGCCTAAATCATCACTCTCAAGTTCAAAGTTCCACAGATCCCTACGGCAGGGGCACAATGCAGCTATGCACCCAGGTTCTTTGCTAAGGTATAACAAAAGTGACCTTTGCTCCAGTTCCCATCAAGTTCCTCATTTGCATTTGAGACCTCATCAGCCTGGCCTTCACTGTCCACATCACTACTAGCATTTTGGTCTAACCATTCAACCAGTCTCTAAGTTCCAAGCTTTCCCTCATCTTCCTGTCGGTTTTCTGAGCCCTCCACATTCTTGCAACCTCTGCCTGTTACCCAGTTCCAAAGCTGCTTCCACATTTTCAGCTATCTTTATAGTAATGCCCCACTCCTTGGTACCAATTTTCTGTATTAGTCTGTTCTTGTATTGCTATAAAGAAATACCTCAGACTAGGTAATTTTAATTTTATTTATTTTTTAAAATTTATTTATTTTTGAGACAGTCTCACTCTGTCACCCAGGCTGGAGTGCAGTGGCGTGATCTTGGCTCACTGCAACCTCCACCCCCTGGGTTCAAGCAATTCTCGTGCCTCAGCCACCCAAGTAGCTGGGATTATAGGCATGCACCACCACACCTGGCTGATTTTTTGTATTGTTAGTAGAGACGAAGTTTCACTATGTTGCCCAGGCTGGTCATTTACTCCTAGCCTCAAGTGATCCACCTGTCTCAGCCTCCCAAAGTGCTGGGGTTACAGGCATGAGCCACCATGCCTGGCATAGACTGGGTAATTTATAAAGAAAAGAGTTTTAATTGACTCATGATTTTACAGGCTGTACAGGAAGCACAGTGGCTTCTGCTTCTGGGGAGGCCTCGAGAAGCTTCCAATCATGGCAAAAGGTAAAGGCAGAGCAAGGCATCTCACATGGTGGGAGCAGGAGTGACAGAGAGAGGGGAAGTACTATACACTTTTAAACAAACAGATCTCAAGAGAACTCACTATCACGAGAACACCACCAAGGGGATTGTGCTAAACCATTCATGAGAAAATGCTGCTATGATCCACTCATCTCCCATCAGGCTCCACTTCCAACACCAGGGATTATAATTCGACCTGAGATTCAGGTGGGGACATGGATCCAAATCATATCAGAATTGTTTTCTTAATTTCATTTTTGAGTGTTCATTACTAGGGTATAGAAATACAACTGATTTTTGTGTCTTGGTCTTGTATCCTGCAACTGAGGTGTTTTGTTTTGAGACAGAGTCTTGCTCTGTGCCCCAGGCTGGAGTGCAATGGTGTGATCTTGGCTCACTGTAACCTCTGCCTCCTGGGTTCAAGTGATTCTCCTGCCTCAGCCTCCTGAGTAGCTGGGATTACAGGCGCCTGCCACCATGCCCAACTAATGTTTATATTTTTAGTAGAGACGGCATTTCACCATGTTGGCCAGGCTGGTCTTGACCTCCTACCTCAGGTGATCCACCTACCTCAGCATCCCAAAGTGCTGGGATTACAGGCATGAGCTACTACACCCAGCCACAACTGAGTTTTGTATTTTGGTCCTGTATCCTGAAACCTTGCTGAACTCCTTCATTAGCTGTCATAGTTTTGTAGATGCCTTAGGATTTTCTATATTCAGGATCATGTCATCTGCAAACATAGTTTTACTTCCACCTTTCCTATCTGGATGCCTTTTAATACTTTTTCTAGCCTGTCTGGTTAGAAATTCCAATACAATATTAATAGAAATAATGAGAGTGAACATCTTTGTATTGTTCTTGACTTTAGGGAGAAAACTCTCAATATTTTACCCTAAAGCATGAAATTATCTGTGGATTTTCAGAGATACCCTTTCATGGGTTGGGAAGTTTCCCTCCTATTCCTAGTTTATTCATTGTTTTTATTTTGAATTTTATCAAATGCTTTATCTGAAGTTACTGAGATGATTATGTGGGTTTTGTCCTTTATTCTATTAATAGGGTGTATTATATTGATTTTCATCTGATGAACAAACTGCATGCATTCCTGGGATAAATCCCATATGGTCATGATATATCATCCCTTTATATGTTGCTAGATTCAGTTCACTAGGCTTTTGTTAAGGATTTTTATATCTAAATTCATAGGAGATATTGGTTGGTAGTTTTCCTTCTTGTGTTTTTTTTCTGGCTTTGGTATCTGGGTAATACTAGCCTCATAGAAGGAGTTGGGAAGTATTTCCTCCTCTTCTATGCTTATGGAAGAGTTTATGAACAATAAATATTAATTCCTCTTTACATGTTTGGTAGAATTCACCAGTTAAGCCATCTGGCCCTGGGCTTTTTTGTGGGGGAAGGATTTTTTATTACTAATTCAATATCTTTTCTTGTTATACATCTTTCAGATTTTCCACTTCTTGAGTCAATTTCAGTAGTTTGTGTGTTTCTAGAAACTTGTTCATTTCATTTAAGTTACCTAATTTGACACAGTTGTCCATAGTATTCCCTTATAATTCTTTTTATTTTGTAAGGTCAGTAGTAACATCTACACTCTCATTCCTAATTTTAGTAATTTTGGACCTTTTCTCCTCTATGCTTGATTAGCCTAGCTAAAAGCTAAAAGTAAATTTTGTTGATATTTTCAAAGAACCAGCTTCTGGTTTCCTTTATTTTTTTCCGTTTTCTACCTCTTTCATTTATTTCCACTTTGCACATTAATATTTCCTCCCTTCTGCTTGCTTTGAGTGTAGTTTGATCTTCTTTTCCAGTTTCTTAAAGTGGAAGGTTAAGTTATTGATTTGAGATCTTTCTTCTTTTCAATATAGGCATTTACAACTATCAATTTAGCTCTAAGTAATGTAGTAGTATTGGATATAAGGTACTTTTAATGAACTTAAATTGCTATGGTACTTAGATTTCTTTGGATACATTTTAAAATATGGGATAGTAAGCCAGGTGCAGAAGCATGTGCCTGTAGACCCAGCTACTTGGGATGCTGACATAGGAGGATTACTTGAGCCCAGGAGTTCGGAGACCAGCCTAGGGAATATAGTGAGACCCTGCCTCTAAAAAAATTGTTTAAATTTTAAAAAGTGGCAGCACACAGTGGCTCACACCTGTAATCCCAGCACTTTGGGAAGCTGAGGCAGGAGATCACTTGAGCTCAGGAGTTCAAGACCAGCCTGGGCAACAGGGCGAAAGCCCATCTCTACCAAAAATACAAAAATTAGCCAGGCGTGGTGGCACATGCTGTGGTCCCAGCTACTCAGGATGCTGAGCCAGGAGGATCACTTGAGCCCAGGAGGTCAAGGCTGCAATAAGCCGTGATCGCACCACTGCACCCCAGCCTGGGTGACAGAGCAAGACCCCGTCTCAAAAAAATAAATAGAAAAGAAAGTATGGGATAATAGTGACAGTTTATTTTGTAAACATCAATATATGTAATAACTTAGTATTTAACTATTTAAACTTACGATAAAAAAAAGCTTTAAATGTCAACAAAGGAGGTATATAGATTTTCAAAACTCTTTTAGAGGGCAATAAGCAAGTCTGAAGCAGGCTCCAGTAAAGGCCATCACTGAATCTGGAGAAGTGACCGTGTCCAAGTTTGTCAGTGAAGCCACCCAAAAGGAATGGGTTCAGCTGGACAGGGAAGGCATTGTCTGCCATTATGCAGAACAAGAATGCAGAGTCAGAAATTAATGAGGTATTAAGAATGAAGAAAATTATACTGTTTGCACACCTGAGTTTGTGACTGAAAAATTCACATC